>NW_018654720.1:0-174808 GCF_000001405.40 Homo sapiens | reverse complement strand
GCCTCTTGGTCTTGGTTGTGCATATTGAAAATCAATAGAGTACGATAGATACACGGGTTGCAAAATATTGGTCTGAATCAGTCATGACATTATTATATATCTTAAAAGTTACTTTTCTCAGGAAATTGCTTCTAATAGCTTGCTGATGTTTTTTTACTAATTCAAATGAGGAACAGAAATATTTGACATTTCAGCCTTCTAGGTAAACTTTCGTTTATGTTAACTGACCAGTAAGAAAATTGGTCTGGTATATTTTATTTAAGGTTTCAAGCTCTCCCTTGACTAAGGTTTCCTTGAAACTGAAGTATGAGTCATATTCATGTTTGCATCATAGCAATTAATTCAATGTCTGGCATTATATAAGGTCTTCAATTTTTGTCTATTGAATGAATAGAAGTGAAGTTGATGCAATTTGGGTTTTTAAATATGTTCTGCTGCAGAGGTTCACCAATTCTTAAAATGTCAAATCAATTCAATACATGTTTAATGAGCTACTACTCTGTACAAGGTAGTGCTAGACAAGTATTTATAACTGCCACACAAATGTTTTAAGATGCTGCTTCTCTCAGACACAGTTTTACTTTATCATGTGCTCCATTGTTCCTCATGGTTCTGTTTAATACTTATGAGTAGCTATATATGATGTTTAATGAACAAAACCTTCATTTGAGTAGCTATATATGCTGTTTAATGAACAAACCTTTCTCTTCAATGGAAAAAAAAGGTATATAGCTTTGTTTCTGTTTCAAAGATATTTTTATTATATAAAAATATAATGGGATATGGGAAAAATTTGTCCCTTGAGCAATTACCAATTAGCAAGTACTAAATAATGATCTAAATAATTTATATAATATATTTCTCTTTTTAATAACTTTAAGAAGCCTTTGAGAAAGATCACAAGTTAGACAACATTGTTCAGGGAAGGTAAATAACTTGCTCCTTGTCATGGTGCATAAAATATACAGTCAATAATTGAACAGAAGAATCTCTGACTTACACTCTATGCTCTGATCCAATTCTAATAGTGGAGCTATTCTAGAGAAAGTAAGTGCAGATAATAACTAACTCTGCTTCATTTCCTATGGAAACACACCTTACTATGAAAATAATTTGATTTGGAGGTTTCTTTCTATTAGGAAATTGGCACATTGTAAATTATTCAATGTTAACTTTGATAAATTTAAAAATAAAAGGTAGTAGGCTTCTGGCTATTTCTGCCTATCAGGGTATGGCTGTGCCTGCATCATATTCTAATTTTAAAAGGCCCTAAGTAACCACATAGCTATTAAACAGGGTACATTGAGAAACGAGTTTAGAATTAAGACAGTACTTTAAGGGACAGATGTGCTTACTTTCAGTGGGAGCAAAGGGTTGAAACAATAAAAGGTGGGTGGGAGCCAGCTGTGGACAACAAGCGTTTTTACAAGGGCATGTTTCTCTTTTGTCTCTGTGTTTTTAATTCTCTTACCACCTAATTCTCTGCAAACATATTAATAAGGATTTGATATAAATTTTTATTTGATACTCCAACTTGTCCTTCCATTTTTTGAGCAGATTTAATTTTAATATACCCTAATGCAATAAAGCCTATTTATCTGTTAATTATGTGTCTATGTAGTAAAATAATGCTAATGAATAGTAAAATGCCTACATTAAAATTGGTTAGCTTCCTCTCACCACATTCAACAAATTTTTTTCTTGAATTACAGGTGTTACAATTGTAACAATGTTGTTCAAAAAAAGGAAAAAAATAAGTTTTTATAGTAGATAATCTGGGCTTTATTCAGAACCTTCAACAAAATAAGACTTTTCATATCTAGTGTTGTATGCTTTATGACATGGGGCTATTATGTTACTAGTCAGGGTGCTGAGTTATGAAAACTATTGAAATGATCTTATTATACTGAAGCTGCTTTACCTAAATTCACTCATTTGTAATTCAGAAATCCAATAATAAATTTGAGTTTTAGAACAGTCATGATACTAGAGGCAAATCTGTTTCTCTAAGTTGCTAAGTGAATTACCCTGAATTGCATAACTGATTTGTATGGAAATAGATGTAAATATAATATAAATTACAGCTAATATATCTTGACCATTTACTACATGCTAGGTGCCTTGTACGTTGCAAGTCATAGAATTTCTATATTTTGGTGAAGAAGAGAGAAGAACTATGCACTCACCTAAATGTTAAGTAATTTCTCAGCAAATGGAGGATCAAGGTTTAACCTCAAGCATTCTATGTGTACCTGTTGAAGATATGAAAAGCATATGAAACCATGCATTTAATTCCTCAGTTATCTTTTAAAATCCTGAATGTTGTATTTTTGCCCTTGTGCTCTCCTACCCTTTCAATATAGTAACAAAACTGTATACCTTCATCCTCCATTTGCTGACATGCAAGTGGTGATGGTCTGACTCCTGAACATTTTTATGACTCGTTTTTGTTTTGTTTTGTTTTGTTTTGTTTTTTCACATTAGACTTGCAGGACCTTCTCTTTATCCCTAGTAATTTAAAATTTTTTAACAATGTCCCTTAATCTCAGTCTTTTTCTTTCATTCTGCTAGGGCCTCCATAGGTTTCATCAATGTAGAAATATGTGTCCTTCCAGGGGACATCGGTTGCAGAGGAGGAGGCATGACTGGGGCTGCCCACTCTGTGGAGCCTAAACAGGTGGGAGCCCTGCCCCCTACTGTGTTGGCCGGGTGGGAGCCCCACGCTCCCAGGCCCAGCCCTAGCTCCGAATCGGGACATCCCTGTGCTCTTGGGGCCTGGGAAGCCCCCCTGTCTCCGCAGGGTGGGAAGTGCTTGTTTCTGCTCTTCCTCGCTCCTGGCGACTGCTCCCATTTCGGAGCAAAGTTGAGACGGATCGCCAGTGGTGCTGCAACCCAGCTGGGTGTGCGCATGCTCGGCAAGGCGCTTACATGCCAGTCCCCTGCTGCCTTGGCCCCCTCCGGACATTGTGCAGCAAGGAGCTTAGGGAGAGATGCCAGTGGATGCCGAAGGTAGCTCCGCGTGGGCCTATTTGCAACCCTCCACACAAACAACCTGGGTGCTATAGATTGCATGTTGATTGCGGCTGGAAGCAGACAGGCTCCTGGGATGAAAGGGGTGGTTCCCCAGAGAAACCCCACCTTCAAGCTAGGGACAGCCAGAAGCCTGGGGGCAGGATGCCAATTCCAAGGGGAGTCGTGGCCCAGAGTGAGAACTTGTGCTTTTTCTGGGCCCACCCATGGCTGCCCATGAACCAATCAGCATGCACTTCTTCCTTTCTGAGTTCATAAAAACCCCAGACTTAGTCAGACTCAGACAGATGTGGAGACTACCAGCTACAGGAAGGAGGTACCCACTTCAGGTCTCCTCAACTCGTTGGGCTGATCTGCCTGCAGAAAGGAGGTACCCACTATGGTTCTCCTGAGAGCTGTTCTATCGTTCAATGAAACTCCTCTCTGCCTTGCTCACTCTCCAGTTGTCCTTGTATCTCATTCTTCCTGGACACATGACAAGAACTCGGGACCCACCAAATGGTGGGACTGAAAGAGCTGTGACACCAACAGTGCTGAAATACACCCTCCCACTCACCACATTGCGGGCGACGAGAAGGAGAGAAGAGCTGCGGCCCTTCTGGGAGTCCAGACCTGGGGGCTCTCTGAGTCAGGCCTGTGACACCCTCTTGTGGCTCTATGGTTCCTTGCATCTCCAGGCTTCTGGGCACCACCGTGTTACCCGCATCCAGATGTGAGTGCCTGTAGCAGAAGCTCCATGCAGTAAATACCTCTGGTCCAGCCACAGCCTTGCATGGAACTGGCACATGTGCCGGTGTGTGGAGCTGCTCACCCTGCCAGAGCCGCTGATGTGCCTGGCTATATGCAGTGGCCAGACCCCGCATCACTTGCCCATACACCCTTTGCCACTCTGCACCTGGCTTGCCCTTGGCAGATGCGAGATTCAGGCTGTTAGTGTGAGCTGAGTGCAGCCTGCCAAGCCGAGTGGACAGAATGAATCCAGCAGGCACAGGCAATACTCAGGGAGAAAGCGCCGCCAGGCACAGAGGTTTCTGGCTGGTGAAGCAATACCCCAAGGATCTTGTGACAGACGGCCCTGGAATCTCAAGAGGGAATTTTTTTTTTTTTTTTTTTTTGGCCAATATCATGATTTTAGTTTTAAGGTCTGTAAGCATATCTTGTATGAAATGAAACATTAGGCAGTTTTTATACAGAGCAATACTAAACAGAGGATGAGATAGGTTTTAAATAGAGTAATTTAAAATCAGTGAAAGACACCTCTATATGAGGGACAGTATTTAGGAAGGAGTAAGTTTTTTGAGCATGTGAAGAATTTAGCAGGCCTGGTGAAGTGGGTAGTTCCTTTCACAAAGAGGATGAACTCTAAGCCCCCTTCCACTCTCTACATCAGAAAATCCCAAGAGCCACAGTTGGCTCATTCTGAGATCTGGAATTTGGGAAATATTTGGGAGCCTGGCCAGGCACCTGAAAGTTATACAGTACCTATAAGTCAGACTGTGTATTCCAGTAAGGTCTACAGTTTAAAAAAGTGTTATGTATGTATGACCATTTGTTTATTACCAGCATTTTATTAATTGATTTTGAATGCAGGAGTGATGAAGAGATAGGAATACCTTCCTTCTAGCCTACAAGCAGCTTTGACCTTCTATTAGTTGCATTGCAAAACAGATATACAAGGAGCAGATAGCCTCTGGCAGAAGAAAGCAATTTCTTATTATCTCCTGCATTTTTACAGTGTCCACTTAGTGATTTTGTTTTCTTCCTGATCTAACCTGGAAAGAGCTAGTGTATTTTCCAGGTCTACAGTTTCAAACATGGAGTGACAGAGATGAAAGATAAATATGCCAGTGATTTCACAGAGGCTTCAGTCGTAACTACTTGTTATTTGTCTTGGCAATTCATAAAGTTCCCATAGCCATTAGAGTAATCATTTACCTTTGCTGAATTCATGGATTAAGGTGAATAATGTGTTCCTGGACAACAGTCAATCAAGATCTGGTCTAAGATCATTAATTTATGTTGCCTGGCTACAGTGTTCAGAAAGGGTGGCTGTAATTTAACCACTTAAAAAATGGCTAAAGGAGCACCCAGGCATTTTCTGTTTTGGTGACCTATGGTTGTAGGAGTACACTGTTACTGAATTGTTGCAGGTAAAGTGTAGTGGAAGATGCATTACCTAATATCAGCTAATAGCAAAATTAGCAAAAAGTTACACAAAATCAAAAGGAGGGTTATTTAACAAAGTCTGACAAAATAACAAATTTACAGAAAGTTATTGTAGCCCTATATTGCTGAAAACAAGGAAGTCCTGAAAAAAAGGCTGAAATAATGTAAGATTTAAATGAACAGTTGAATTACAACTGCTGTTGACAGATCCTCATGAAACAAAAATAAAACAATCAATTTTAAAATAAATATATTACAGCATCCTCAAATGTAAGGAGAAATAAACTTACTCTGCCTGTTACATGTATAGCAGTAGACATTAAAAACAACTCTTAGAATTCGTTAGGATTTCTATAACTGGTTTCTGATTAATTGTGGATTACTTAAAACCTTTTTATAAGATTTATTTAATTATATCTACAGATAAATAGATACACGTACTTCATTATAAAGAGTATAACAAGGACAGTATTCTCATTTACATCTTCAGAAATGTATTATATTTTATTACAGATGATGCTTAATGACTGATTCTGGAAATATCAGTGCTGGTATATATTTGAGCAAGTACAATTGAAATCTGAAGCTAATGCAGATTGTAGACACAAAGCTTGGTTTATGAATAGAATTCTATGGAATCATAGAGTTCTTTAGAAAAATTAATCTGTTATTCCTGCCATAGAGTTGGTTTTCACAGGGTCCATCCCTACCCAAATACAGATACTGGGACCTTTTCATTCCACATAACCACCATTCATTTAGGTACCATCCTCTGAGTCAGTGGGTTTGTATGCATCCTAGGTCTTGGAAAAGAAGAGTATAGAACATTTACGGTGAGTCTCAATAATGTTTTGCGTCAAGAAAAGGCATTACTTGTGCTAGATTGTGTGCAGGAGGAGTCTTCACTCACATGTGGACTGATGAACTGTAAATGTAGATATCCTGGCTTTCACAGGACTCCCTAGTACTAGAACTTAATGTTACTGGGCAGTCTGCATGTTGAATCAGCACCTGTTCATATAGTTTCCCTCCTACTAGTCAAGTTATTTTTCTCTGTCCCTACTGACTTCCTGCAAGATTAGACTCCATCTAATGTTTTTGCTCAAACTTACCATGCCACTGACACCCATCTCTTTACCCGAGTGAGATAGAGTAATCTGGATTTTTCTCTATTCACCTTCCAACCTATTATTTTACATAAAAACTGCACTTTACTTTTTTTACAGTTTTCATTTCAGATTTTTTAGAACACATTTACTTATTTTAGTGAAATCTGGTATTGCATCAAAACATGTGGCTCACTTACCCGAGGGTTTGGGGAGTGATTTTTAAACCTGGCCACAGAGAAAATCATGTGGAGAGTAACACAGAAAAGTCTCACCTACATCCCATTCTCAAAGATTTTGTTTCAAGTAGTTTGATGGGGCCCTGTATTTTGACATTTCAAGTTGAGATTCAAATAAGCGGACATGGTTGAAGAATACTGGCTTATAGTACTTAAGAGCTCTTTTGAAAATCTTAACATTGACCTATCTTGTAGATTTGTTGCAAACTAAATAAAACAAAACAAATTAAATAACCAATGAAAAATGTTGAGCACAGTGCCTAGCACCAAGTCAGCAAACAACTAGTGATGATGATGATGATGATGATAATGATTTTTCTTTTCCTTTACAATGATACTAATACTATTTCTCCTTATGGTAATGTGTATTTGAAGGATTTGAAGACTCTTCTACTACAAAGGTGTAGTAAGGTGAAATAACGCACAATCATTAGTATTTCAATTGGTTTTTCACTGTCTTTCATGTGTAAGCATTCATATGTCTGAAGCAATGTTTTGAGCACAGAAGATTTTATATGAATAACCCCTGTTATTGGTATAACACAAAGTGGTTGTGTTCATATGCTCTTCATCAAGATCTGAATTCAATTCTAAGTTTCTATGAGACTAATGTTGCTCCAAACTTGTCAAGATAGAGTCGGTCATTCTTGATTTGATCTAATTTGGGTTACATGAGACAAAAGGCAAGAAAATTGAAGTGAATGAAAAAAAAATGCCAAGTGGAGTTGTAAGATTTTATATTAGGAATGAAGCAAAATGTATTTATAAGAAAGCAAGTAAAGTGTCCTTAGTTAAGGAGCAATATGAATACACAAGGTATCCTTGTTCAGAGAACACGGTAAAAAACAAATCTTTCTATTCATTGAACTTTAGGTTTGTTACAAAGGTTAACCATGACATTCAAAGGAAACCTAGTCAAATAAGCTTAAGTTTATGTTAAATTGGGGTATCTTTAATAAGTCAATGCTTTCACTTTGCATTTAAAAACAAGAAGCTGAATCACTAAAATAGCAATAGCTTCTTACCTTCATGTCTAAGAATTTGTATTTCTTTAACATAGAAGCAGGAAGACTTTTCTTCATCCTTACTAAATCATTTTCTCTTTCTCCAGAGTAAAATTTACTGATGCATAAACATAGTTAAATATCTTGGGGCTATCCATTCTCAGGAAAGAAAGGTGATATGGCCTAATAATTCTAAGTATTTTCAAAATTTTTATCTGCACAGAAAACAGAAATAAAGGTACTATACTGAAGCTACCTTAAATAGATTTAAGGTAGACATAGAGAAAAAAAATGACAGTGCAGATGAGTAAGTATAGAAAAGGAATTCAAGTGAGGTCAATAAATAAATATTCTTATGAGGTTTATATCTAGAATTTACTAGATGGAAAATACAATTCCTAGATCTCTCTTATTGTAACAGTGAGTTATCATTGCTACATAGGCGCAGTTATTTTGAAGACTAACTTTGCATTTTTTAAAAGCAACATAAGACTTTGTAGAAACAAAATAAAAACAATTTATTATAAATAGACTAACCTCTGAAATAAATTTGGGATGGAACATCGGAATTTGTGCTAGTAAAAATTCAATGTTTTAAAGTTCTGCCTTTTTCAATAATTGCTGCAGGAACTTTTTAAAGTTCCTGCTTTTCAATAGGTTTTAATAGATATCTATCTTTCATGGCTTATTCTTCTAAAACTGAAAAATTACCTAACTGTGATCATTCATATACAAAAGTTATCTATATACTTTACATATTATATTTTGTTAAATGAAAAGGGATAAACTAGTGTATTAGGTGTTGGTGCCCATGTAAATAGAGCTGCCACCTTGTGGATAACTAGGTAGTGGGCCACTCAATGTTGCAAGATGTAGTAAAAAAAATCCTATATATACCCACTGCTCAAGAGGCGATAATAATGTTCACAACAGTTTCAAACTTCTTTAAATTCTTAAGTTCTGCCTATCAAACTATCACCTGTAGGACATGTTCATTCTTTCTGAAGTTAGTAATAAACTAAACCTTATTAATATGTAGGTTGGGAAACATTGGAGAATGGTTTATCCAGTTTAATTAGCCTCTAGTGCTGATTTGTTTTGATAATACAAATAATTAGTTTAACCACAAAATTGATGTAACAGAAATAATTGTCAGGCAATTAAATATTGCAATGATTTCAGCTCCTGGGAAATATATAGTATGTAAGTACCACAATAAAATTGAGAGGTACTTGGCTTAAACTACAAAACATCTTCAACTTGACTTGTCAGAATAATTTTATTGATTCCATTTTCTTCATATTAGAAAACATTTACTAGGCCGGGCGCGGTGGCTCACTCCTGTAATCCCAGCACTTTGGGAGGCTGAGGTGGGCGGATCATGAGGTCAGGAGATCCAGACCATCCTGGCTAACACGGTGAATCCCCATCTCCACTAACAATACAAAAAATTAGCTGGACGTGGTGGCGGGTGGTCCCAGCTACTCAGGAGGCTGAGGAAGGAGAATGGCGTGAACCCGGAAGGCAGAGCTTGCAGTGAGCCGAGATTGTACCACTGCACTCCAGCCTGGGCGACAGAGTGAGACTCCGTCTCAAAAAAAAAAAAAAAAAAAAGAAAGAAAGCAAACATTTACTAATATACATTTACTGAGAATGAAGCTTAAATTGATGTCTATAGAGTGTTTTGCCCCCTCATATTAAACTTTTACACACTATTAAAGTTAAAATATTTTATATTCTCTGAACTCACAAATGCTAGCTGGCCATTTTAGTTGGAGGAATGTAATAAATAATGAGACAACGTTGGTAAATTCATTCTCAAATGCAGTGTTTGTCATTATTCCTTTATGAAATTAGAGCTATATGCAGCATTTTACTTTTCCACATGTGTATATTAAATAGAATATTCAAGAAATGACACCATCCTTTTATTTTTCTTGTAGTTTCTTAAAGTTTTAACATTTTTACATTTAGAATTTTTTTTACATTTTGTAATCAGGTTGTATTTCTTAATAATATTATTTTAGTATAGTAGAAAACAGTTACGTGTCTTATTATCAATGTTCACATCACATACACACTATCTTATTTTTGACCTTAACCCAGATACATGTGCAGACTGATGTCCAAGTATCATCAGACTTTTTTCCAAAGGACATTCTGAAAATAAATTACTGAAAGGTCTTGAAGTTTAGTATCTCTACTTTTCCAAAAGAAACACCACTAAAAAATCACAAAAAAATTTTATAAATTCTACTAATTATTACTTTCTAATGATTTCTCCCCACTGTAAGAGAATATATGTATATATATTTTCTTCTGTCCTTATGTATAAAATATACTTTGGAGTAATAAAACTGATATTCATATATGAACTATTATATCCTGTATTTATCTGAATGTTCCTGAGTGTATAGATGTAATTATTTAAAACTAAAATATAAATTCTGTCCTAATAAATAAATACAAAATTTGAAGTTGACTTAATGTATGTGATAAAGATTCACTCATTATTCTAGTCCAACGTTAGTATGAAGTATTTCTAGTACATTATCTTTTTTCCTATCAATTTTCCTAGGAATTAAAGTATAAGCCAATAATTTTGTTAATTTTTAAACAATTCAAATTTTAAATATGAAATTATTTTCATATGTAATAAGTGTATGTCCTTAAAATACTAAGTAATTCATTAGAGACTCCATCTTGTATAATATTTAAGCATTGAAATCTATATTCTTAAAAAATCTCACTGACATATTTTAATAACAAAAACCAGCTTTCTTTACTAGGTACCTTATTCACTTGTAAACAAATTTTGTGTAGGATGTGGGTTATTGATACAAAATGCCTATACGTTGATACCTGTGGAAATTGACAAATAAATAAATGAACAAACAAACAAAAATGCCTGCAGAGCCCTAGGAGTATTTAAGTTTCCCAATCTTTATATTGCTGTATTTCTCTAGGCACATTATATGTGGCATTCTGTCACCCAAATAAATGCAAAACAAATAAGAGAGGTTATGATTTCTGTGCACTAAAATCACCAGAAAATACATTTGTCTTTAAAAATTAACTGAATGTAGATAGATAGATAGATAGATAGATAGATAGATAGATAGATAGATAGATAGATTATATCCTGTTGCATGTAGAAAACATGCTGAAATTATTCTGGGAGGGTTAAAACTCCAAAACAAACAAACAAAAAAAAAATTGAGTGAGTCAGTGTTATAAATCAAGTTAATTTGCAACATTATTTTTGAGTTGAAATATTAAGGGTTTAACATATTTATATCATTATTTTGAGGGCACCAAAGTAACTCTAAATTTTAAATCTTCCATGTGTCTTTAAAATAAACGCATTTGATTGTTTTCATAACAACGATAATATTAATTATATCTTATATTTATGTAATACTTTTTATTTTATATAACAAGCTTCTATGCATTGTCTCATCTGATCCCCATATCTTTATTATTATTATTTTGCTGTATGTAGCATTACCACTCTCAGTCTATACATAAAAGATGCTAAGTTACCAGAGTTTTTACAGATAGTAAGTGGTGGAGCAAGAACTGGAGGATGAATCATTTCAACCCTAGTCTAGAACTCTTGCTCCCATGTCACATGCTAACTCGCTTCTCAGAGTAATCAAATAAACTGACTATCATAAAAGTCAGAACTTGGGAGGAAATGTGAACATATGAAAGTGTATTTTCATATATTATCAACTTTTTGAACTCTTATTGAGGCCATTGAGTAAAAATAATTTTCTGTCACTGTAAATGCAGAGGGAATGTAACAAGTATTTGCCCTGAATCCATTATTCAGAAATAAATGAAACAGCATAAAGTCATGCAAGTGCACTGTTGGTGACTTTCCTTTCCCTAAAGTTGGGGTGGTTGAAGTGAATTTCCTTGCTCTTTCTCCAGGTGCTTGTACTGTTCGCATGCTGAGCTGCACAGCTTTCAAAGGGCTTGCCCTGGGATATGGCTGGGCTAGATTTAGAAGGAACTGGTCATTGAATAGCTCTGGTAATTCTTGCATCTCACAGTTATGCGGTTGACAGCTCCTTTCAGTAGGGAAAGCTTGGGTATATTTCAAGGTGATTGTAGTTTTGTCCCTCTGGCAGCAAGCTGCTGCAACCAGCTTAGCCCATTATCCTCCTCTCCCACTGGATTTAAGCCTGGGGAGAAATCTGGGGCTTTTGTCAAGATAGAAGGTAAGAGATGGATAATTATTCCCTGTGTGTGCTCAAAAAGAACAGCACTATATCATAGAGTAGCTTTCAATTACTGAAATGGGATTGTCTGAAGTTCCAGTGGCTTATAAATTACTCTTTGTAAAAACCAATATTTAACATTATTGTATTAGTGATGTGCTTTTAATATCTCTTTCATGTAATATCATGTAATAAACTTTAAGGTTTATTACATGAAACTTTGCAAACAGTGTTTAACACTCAGAGAATAAAATGCATTTCCATTTTTGTGGTTTTATTAGAAGATTTAAAAACAAATGGCTGCTCTGAAAAAATTGATTAAAAACTTCACTGTACAATTGACTACATTATAATTTTTCTCAATTTGAGTTTCTTAAATCTCAGGGGCTAGTACTGTAAAATCAACGCAAAGTAATTACAAAATTTAAAATTCCAGATGTTATGATTACATACATCTTGTCCTTTAATATCCATTCTGTCAAATACCTTTTATAAACACTGCTACTTAACAAAACACATTTGGAAAATAAAATTTTCACTAATTCTGATTAATTAATTAGGTAAATCAGTCTTAGCATATTTAGAGGGCAGTATTTTCAGTTTGTGATCACCCAGGAGCTCAACATTACTTTCACTCTCCTTTTAAAGGCAGAAATTATAGTCAGAAATGTGCATTTCAATTTGTAGCTGACAGTTTAGGGTTAAGATATGATTCCAGGTAACAGAAGCCAATGAGAGTACACCCAGTTGATGTTTGTGACATCATCTTCCAGTCAGAGTACATAGAACAGCTGAGGTAGCGTTCAGTTTCAGCACAGTGCCATTATGATGGATGTTTACATCTCTTCATTGAGAGCCAATTATCTCGCTTTTGTGTGAGGCCCAAGGATCACTCATGCTTCCAGGCTGCACAGAGCACTGTTGGATCTAGCTGAACGAATTGTTTTCTCTGTCTCTGGTAAGGGCTTCTTCTGTTTTACCTTCTCTTTTAAAATAAAGGTAGATGTGTCTTACAGAGAAAATATTATAAGGGTCAAAAAGGATTACTATCTGGTAAGCTTTTATTCAGGAATGTTTATCATTATTTAAAGGACTATGGAGTTAGCAAAATGAATTAAAAAAAGAGCTTGCTAACGTGTACCTGACAAACTAATTTGCAGCAGAAAATGAAAAGCAGGTAAATCCGGCTTCGCTTTAGAAAAAGGAAAATACTGCTATTATAAGACCACAATTTTGAATGTGTTTTTAAAACTGTATATGTGTATGTATATCATTCTGCATCATTTCTCTATATTTTTCTATTAGTATTAAAGAATAGTGGTAGAAATGGTCAACCAAGTAGTGTTGCTGTAGACTTAAAATGAGTCAAAGTTTCTAATTGTTAAATGGCAGTTCTTTGGGACAGTTTTCCAAAGTTGCATTTATACAGGGAAAACAAAGTTTACCAAGTGAGCAAAGGCTCTGGCTTCTGAAATAAAGTTGTAGGACTTTACATTCATATTTACCATTTAAATATTTGGAAATAATAATAATGAAAAATTTTAAGAATGGATGTAAGGGTTTCTTTGTGGAATTAAGAGATATTAAAATCATTTATTGCATTTTTGTTATGCTTTTTGGTGCATAATAAAATACTGTCTTTACATAGCCAGAAAATATTTAAATCCTAAAAATATATCTTTATATTATTTAATCATTTGTCAGTAGTAACATTTATGCCTGAGGATCTTGTTATATTGTAGCAAAACAAATATATTTAGAGCTGTTGAACTGCTATGGATAGGTGATTGAATGTGACAGAGAACCTGAAAAGTCACTACACTAAAAGCTTTCAATTGACTGAGAATGTTCACATGATAACAAATGAAGAATTCAAAAACATTTGTATCCCCTCAAATGTTGTCTATTATTATGGTATAAAGTAGCATA
The DNA here is from genome assembly GCF_000001405.40 of Homo sapiens. Classification (NCBI taxonomy): domain Eukaryota; kingdom Metazoa; phylum Chordata; class Mammalia; order Primates; family Hominidae; genus Homo; species Homo sapiens. The sequence continues at coordinate 161,108 of NW_018654720.1, read as the reverse complement.
CTGTTGTTATTTTAAAGTTGGATGCAGTTATTTATGAAATAAAGCCACAGAAAAGTGTAATTAATTGTTATTTTGTTTAACGTGCTCTTTTATTTTAATAGCATCTCCATTCCTCCTAGGGTTATAAAACTTTTGAATAATGGCTTGTTCATCAAGTGTTGATGTGCTTATGCTTTTTAGATTTATTTTTACTGTGCCTTTAACATAGAATATTTCTGCCTTTGCAAACTAGTAATTTTGATAATTAAAACTCAGGATTTGGAGATTCTCGAGTTGAGCTTTAAGACAGCAGGGGTTTTTCAGCTATGTCACACTCTGTGTCTTCTGCTAGCCCAGTCCTGTTTGGCAGCTCTAGACATTACTGTTGTTCGAATTGTCTCCTTTAGTCCATTCAGGTCTGAACAAAACTAAGTTTATAGACAGTGTCAGATGTGTATTAATTAAATCTAAACAAGTGAGCTTAATGTCTCAGCCACAACAATACGTAATCAACAAAACCTCAAAAAGCTTCCAATATACATCTAGAGTCAATTTTTTGCTGAGAAAAATTTAAGTTGGTATATTCTGTGAATTTCAAAATTTAAAGTGAAATCTAAAAGTTTTGGATAATATGAGCTTGAAAGCATGAGTCACTGCTTTGAAATGAATTTTTTTTCTTTCCCTAAGTACTCTATAGTGAAGTTGAAAAACCCAGTGGTACTGACTGTGTCATTTTCACAGGTGATTAAACTTAACTAAGGGAAAAGCATTTGTCTCCTAATAATTAATTCTTTAAAAATCTATTTATATCATTCTGTCAACAATGAAGAAAATCTTATTCAGCTAATGAATGATCTAGACATTTAAATTGCATTTTTTTCTGTGTATGATTCCTTCTTTCAGTATTAGCCTTGCTAGTCACAAATGCACTACATTGATGGTGACTGCAGTGTTAAATTGCTTATCTCCTTCTTTTCCTTTGGACAACTTTATACAACGCAAGTACACGAGATATGAGCTACCTAGCTAATGGACTTCATTCATTTCACAAAAAGTTTTTTATTATTATTTTTAATTTAAGAGAGGACATCAGTGATATCATAGCAATTTCCTATGCCACAAAGTCCCTAGGAAGGCTTCCCAGTACAGGGTGACATAAATAAATGATGTGTGATGTTACTTGTACTGCCCTATTCTCTGCCTCCTTTTAAATACATATGTTCTTTATCTGACTTATGTAACCAGTATTAAGAAGAGATGGAAAAAAATAGCCATGAAAAGATACTTATTAACTCTTCTGAAGTTCTCTGCATACTCCATATGCTGGGGGTGATATATTTTTTCTTTTGAAAATGACTCCTCAAATTATGTTTTTACCTATTGCAAAATAATACTCTTTTGTATATTTTAACACTTTCCTAGAATTTAGTTTATTGTAAGCCCCTTTATTAGTTTCATGTAATGATTGAATGCACAATACTGCTTGGTTTTTTAGTTTCTCAGTTCAAGCACTTGAATGATCATGAATTCTATGCTTGTCTTGACAGTGGGAAATTCTGGGCATTCCAGGCCAACTTTTTACTTAAGCCAAAAAATATAGTAACTATGATGTCATTTTGGACAGCTTGGACTTATTGTGTGAATGTCTGGATATTTAGGTGTATATTTTAGGTACATAAATGTAATGTTTTTATGCATTTTAAAGTTTAAAAGATCTTTTTATCAACCTTGTGTATATATACAATTAATTCTTAACAATTGATATGTGATAAAGTAATTGATATTATGCAACTAAGGAAACAGAGACTAATAATTCGTAACTTGTTGCCAAAGATCACCCAGTCAGTAAGTCAGTAAATGGAGGAGCTAGGACTCAGAAACAGGTTTACAAATTTCAGTGCCCCAAATCAATCAATTTCTCTTTCTTTCTTTCTTTCTCTTTCTCTCTCCCTCCCTCCCTTAATACAGCCGGTTATCTAATCAGTCACTTCTCTTGAGTATCTACTTCGTGCCAGGCACTCTTCTAGGTACTTGGCATTTATAACTGAACAATGTAAAAAAATTCTTGTTGTTGCACATATTATTTTTTTTCTACCTGAAAAGCTCTCATCTTTAATTTACTATAAAAGTAGAATGTATTTTAAGGTGTGGCTAATTAAAACCAAAAACTTTATGGGAAATAGGAAACATAAGTTAAAGGATACATTCATTTGCATTTCTTGTGTTTCTGTGTGTCTCTAAGTTCTCAGGTATGTTTTAATCTAAAATAGATTTTTACATTATATTTGGGTTTTGTGAAAAGTCTATCAATTATTTTATAACTCATACTTGATTCTGAATGTGGTCACTGAAATATTATAAGAATAAAATAGCTTGTGGTAGATATCAAAACAGTATCAATCATTTTTGGACAAAGTTATCTTGTATTTATAATGTATGTTCAAGCAAGCTAGCTTTATTTTTATTGTCTATTTTACAATCAATTATTTGCTGGTAATAGTATGCCGAGTTTACAGTTGTTTGACTTTGGACAAGGTTCTTTATAGTATAAGTAAAATAATAAAAAATGAAGAATTTTTTTATTTTAATTAAAAACTTAATATCTCCCAAATGATAGTAGTTTGTGTTTGAACAAGCAAACTAGAGACAATTTACTTTTTAAGGCCAATTTTTTCACTGTCTTGGTAGCTACTAATGCTAGTTCCTAGGACAATGGCACTAAAAAGTGATATTTATTCGCTATTCAACTTATTTACAGATACTCAGTGATTTAAAAGAAATAAAAAGCCTAAAATACAACCTCCTCAGAGAAAACCAATCCATACGTAGAACCTATCAGTTGAAGATAAATTATTTTTAGATAGTATCATTTAATTAGCCACTGAAGAATCTGTCTAGTGACATACATATAAATTGTACAACAAAAGTTAACTGAACACACTTGATTTGGCTCAAAATATTTTACTGTGGTCCTATTGCATAATAATAAAACAATAGCCCTGAACTTAGTCCCTTTAGTAATGCCCATTTGAAGTATGCAGAATAAGACAGTAAAATTAGAATTCAATAATTGAAAGTACGAATGTGATTTTTTATCTGCTTTCTCTCTCTGCCTCTGAAGCTATGACAAACGAATGTGCCCTTTTCAGGGGTTAATAAATTATGAAGACTTTTCCACTTCTTTCAGAGTTAGAGACAGAGAAGCTTGTTCACATTCGAACTGCATAAAATGAAAAAATAATCTAGAGCTATTAAGCAGTAGATGTTTAATAGCACTAAAGGTACTGGGCCTTGGGTTTAGCTATTTTTAACAACTTATATCCATGAATTAATTTTAATAGTGTTTTTGATGAGAAAATATAAATGGACAACAGTACTTTTTAATGCTAAATTCTGCTAAAAGCAGAGAATTTGTTGTTCAGTGTTTGATACTGGTCTCAGTGGCATGGAACTGAGCATATCATAAAGGTTGTCTAGGTAAATTTTCACAAGTAAGTGGCTCTCTACCTGTGTGCCATGGCACACCATAAAACTCTCAAGGGTATGTCCTAACATTTGGGTCAATGTGGAAAATGCATTTTGCCTAAAACTGAGTATACATATTGGTGCTGCAGTCAGTCAGATAAAATATGGAGCTGAGTGAAACCAATAATATGGGGAAGAAAATGACACAATTTGCTGTGATGAGAGGCAAGGTGTAAAGTTAAGTTCCAGCAACTTTTCTCCATTTGAAGTACAGAAGAGGCTATGATCATGCTAGAAAACACTTTTTCTCAGCAGAGCAAGAAAAGAGCAGATGCTTTTAAAGACACTTTCTTTTTTGTTTGCGTGCACTTGTTGCATGTAAGAATATGCAATAAGTGCGTGCAAATTGTATTCAGGTAGTCTGGGACCAGGTGTGTCTAATTAAAACCAAAAACTTTATGGGAAATAGGAAACATAAGTTAAAGGATACATTCATTTGCATTTCTTGTGCTTCTGTGTGTCTCTAAGTTCTCAGGTATGTTTTAATCTAAAATAGATTTTTATGTTACATTTGGGTTTTAAATGTTGACTTTTAATATTTTTAAAAGTCTGGGACCAGACTACCGGAATACAATTTGTTGTTCCACCCTTTTCAGTCTTCATGCCTTCATAATAAAAAAAAAAAAAAAACGGGAAATAAAAGTACCTACCTCGTAAGTTTGTTGTGAAAATTTCATGAACTAATCTTATAAGCATGGAGAACAGTGCCTTGCATATAGTAAATGTTCAATTACTATTGCCTCTCTTTAGTATTTTCATTGTTTTCATTGTTACTGACTTGCTTAGTATTATGTGGCTGTGTCTTTTAATTCATTCAGGAGTTTCATTAAAAATTGCTATTCACTAACATGAAAACTCTGGTATAGTACAAACACAATTTTGGGAACCAATCATACTAATTACTTTTGAAACTAGATGCTGATTGTAGATTTTGTTGGTAAACACGGGTTAATCATTTACTGCATATAAAACTTCTGATGTTTTAATTTTAACTATTGTAAGATAAAAAATGAATTAAATAACTTTTAGGAACTTTTCTCAAATCTAAAATGATATAATATGGGATATCATATACATACAAATCTAAGTACGTAATAAAATAGAAAGTCTTATAGCTTTACCTTTTATCTTTTACTCTGTTTTACTTTGCTACTTTTTATTCTATGATTTTTCATAAGTCAATGAGAGTTTCAAACCTGGAGTTATGAAAGTTTTATTTGTCTGATATATGTAGAGACCAACAGTCTGCTTTTCAACAGTCCATTGTCTCATATTGGTGATGAAGTGGTGATAGAATTGAGTTAAAGTTTTTCAGTTCTTCTTTACTCATGACGTTCTGTATTCTTAACATAGTCATTAGAGGCAAAGTATGTTTTTATTTTAAAAATCTCTCTCTCTCTCTCTCTCTCTCTCTCTCAGTGTGTGTGTGTGTAGGTTGCTTGTTTGTTTTGTTTTAATGAAGCATCTAACATGTACTTAATACTACCTCAAGAGAGATACAAATAGAAAAGGATAAAAAATGTAATGTTTAAATTAGGTTATTCTTCCCCACTGTTTATAATCTTGTAGAATCAAGGCATTAATGAATGTGTAAAACATTTTCTAAAAATCTATTCATTCCACTAAGGTATTTTCCCTTCACTTTTAAGTGCTCTGACTCATTCTACGAATTATTTAAAGCTCAGCCACTCAACTACTGAGCACTTATGGCATGCCAGCAGTGAACAGAGCACCACCACTGCTCTCCAGGGGTTCATGGTCTAGTGACCAACACAAAGTTGGAAATAAATAATTACAATCCATTGTGATAAGTTTTACATTAGAGATATGCACAGAGTGCTCAGGGGACACCCACAAGGAGTGATTTATTCTATGTGTAAAAATCTGGAAAATCTTTAAAAATAAGCTGTCACTTAGCTGAGTTTTGGAAAATTAGAGACTTTTTCACGTACAGGTGGGCAAAGGATATTTCAGATAGAGGGACCTCATTAAGAACAAAGTCAAAATGAGAAGAGAAAGCACAGTGTGTTCAGTTAAGGTCAAGTTGCTTATCATAAGCAAAGGCAGGAGTGAGGGAGAGCTAAAAATTTGCACCAAGGTATCAGAACAGATTCTAATTGTAAATAACCAGTAAGGACAACTGTCATAACTGCATAACTTTAATCCTTGGCTGGATGTTTAAATTAGGTTATTCAAATTTTAAATACTCTAGAAGGGCTGTGATGAGATGGATCACTGTGGTTTTGAGAAAATGAGGAATGCTTCCTAAAAGAGGTAAGAAGCAGGATTATTTGGCACTATTTAAAGCAGTCTGACACATCAAAGGAACAGGAATGGTCAACACATTCTACTTCATTAATTTCCGCTAACTTTACTAGGTATATCAATCTATTAAGTTATTTTAAATAATGGATAATGTTGGATGGGGTGATTAATTACTCAAGAATAGAAAGGTGGGTCACACGTGACATAATTGAGAGGAATACCAGAGTTTGGGAAAGAGTTTCTGAAGTCAGTATTTATTCACTATTTATGAACTTGAGCAAACATGAACTAGGGATAGGAAGTGTATGATGCTGAATGACAAAATGCTTTACTATTGGGCTGGGGTCAGTGGGAAAATCCAGGGAAAGGAACTCCCCTTCTTATAGAATAACTCAGTTCATTGCACTTATTTTTTAAATTATCTGAACAACATTATATAAAAGTTATATATTAAATAATTATTTTAAAAGAAAACAATAAGCATTGTGTCATTCTTTTCTTGGTGTAAAATTTTCTCAAGTGGCATGTGATTTACAGTGAACACAAATAAATAATGGGGGAAGATGGAAAGAGGTGCTCAGCATGGGAACAGAGCATAACACTAGCTAGTTTCACAGCTGTCTCTTAGGCTGTCTCCCAGAAATTTATTCTAAGTTTATTCACTTATTTCATCATGGTGAGATTCCGATATATTTAGATGGTATCCAAAGAGAATTAGGCTTTATGTATGACCGCTCCCATCTACAATGTTATAGGCATTCTGATAGGTGGCGAAGTTACATAAGGATGGTGGTGGTGGTGTATCAAGAAAATGTGTGTCATAGCAGAGCACAACAGGCAATAGGACAGAAAAGGCATGACAGAAGAGGCAAGACAATTGCCTATCTACTTGGAAGGGAACCGCTTCTCACTTGCCTGTATCTTTAATATTAACTCTCAGAGCATTCTTGCATAAGAGCGTGCAAGTGATAACTTTGGCATGAGAAAGAGAACATGGTTCTGAGGGTAGAAAATAGGATAAACTGAGGGGCATTAGGGAGGTGGAGATATAGAAAGGTAAATATTTGGGGGAAAGAACAAAAAAAAATCCACAGACAGGGTTGTAGTCACAAATCATAGAGGGTATTTTACTCTCTTGAGGTCAAAGATTCTCCCTAATTCTTTTCTGAATACCTATGGCCTAGCAAAGTGCTCTGCAGAAGTTTGCTGAATGAATGTCTGGCTGCCTGAGAGAAGGAAGGAAGGAAGGAAGGAAGGAAGGAAGGAAGGAAGGAAGGAAGGAAGGAAGGAAGGAAGAGAAACTAGGTTCTTTCTTTGTGTACTTTAGACATGCTATGCTTGAGATGTCCACTAAAGAGCAAATAAGACATGTAGGTATTGGTTATCAAGAAGCCTTAGGAAATTCCTCTATTTAAAAGTGGTGAAGAGGAGGAAGAACAAACAAAGGAGACTCAGAATCAAAGAGCCTTTGAATAAGGAGGATAACTACATCTAGACTATTAAAACTTCAGATCAGGAAGGAAAAGATGGTGCTGAGGGTAGAAAATCCTCTGAAACCTCTATGCAGGAAATACAAATCTGAACATGACACTCCTTTCCCCTCTTCCCCATAATCTTCCTTCCATTCCCTTGTGACCTAAAACTCTTCAGTGGCCTTCCATTACGTACAGGATAATAACAAAACTAGTATGCTTCATAAGGCCCAGCATGATGGTCTCTGTGTTCCAGCAACATTTACTTTCTTTTCATCTCTCTTACAATTTCTTCTTCAGTTCCACCACTGAGCCTTAGTTTATGCCATTCTGTCTGGCTAGCAGGTTCCTCTGAACCTTTTCCACATGTTTACTTCAAATTTATTATTCAATTCTCAGTTAAAGAAGCACAGCCTTAAGGAATTCCTCCTTGACCTTCCTGATGAGGCCAGATATCCCTATTACAGGTTCTTAACACAGTATTTAACACTTTCAAAAGTTTCCATTGCAGGCTTTCTTGGTTGATTAAATTGTTAATGCCAGTCTTCCCACGAGACTGTAATCTTTATGAAAGTAATGGCCAGAGTCTACTCTGAATCAGCACTGAACCTCCAGTGTCTGGAGTAAGGAAATCAGCTAGATATATATGGTCAAGTGAATAAATGGTGTGAGTAAACAGAAGATTGCAAAAAGTGTATTTACACCTGGGAACAACAAAGTACTGAGATGCTACTGAATGTTAATCATAGAAATAAAATTTGAGTGGACTTTCTTAGAGCATAAATAAAATGCATGCCCATATCTGCAGCCTCCTTCCCACTAATATGTGTGTAACCCTATAACTAATTATATAAGTATTTAAGTAAGAGAACAGATTGTGCATTTTGAGTTATGCACAGAATAATAAAAAATATTGTATCCTAATGGTCATTTGTAACACACAGATAGTTGAAGGATATGAAGAGATACAGACTCATCATAGAAACTGTGTATGTGAGTGTGTTTGTACAAAACTTGTACCAGGGTATAACTGATGCTACTAAAACTAGAAAGAATGTAATTGAGAATGTGATGTCCCATCATATGAAAGGGTGCAGAAAGTCTCAAAATATAGAACAAAGAAAATTGCACTTTAAATTGCAGGGAAGGTCACTGGTGGCCTTAAAGAAAGTAGTTTGAGATATTAGATAGCAAGGAGTCCAGCAGGAAATTGATACTTAGGAGTTGAAGTCATGTTCAAGCAATTTACAACAGAAAAGGAATAAAGACTTGCTGGTCAGAACTGTCAAATAATAACCCTTTCAGGAATGGAAAAAGTTGATTTGGTGGGCAGATATATGAATTATTAAGTAACATTTACCTTTGTAAATTGGCCTTCATAACTTGTACAAAACGTATTTATAATAAATAAAGTGTTTATAGAACATATAGCTACGTTTAAAAATTTCAAGCACAGTTAGAACAAAAGATAGCAATATATCCAAAAATATAGAAAATTGTGGGAGTCATTTACTCAGCAGTTAATTTATTCTTTTAAAATGACTCTTTCAGTAGCCATTTATAAGCATGTTTATAGATGGTAAACTGTTCATGAGTGTGTAGGCAAATAAACAAAGAAACCTTCTGGAATGAAGACCTAGACTCTCTAGAAGGTTGCAGGATACTCTAAGAAGCAATGGTTGACGGGCGCCTGTAGTCCCAGCTACTCCGGAGGCTGAGGCAGGAGAATGGCGTGAACCCAGGAGGCGGAGCTTGCAGTGAGCGGAGATCAAGCCACTGCGCTCCAGCCTTGGCAACTGAGCGAGACTCTGTCTCAAAAAAAAAAAAAAAAAAAAAAAGCAATGGTACACTAGGAGATATTCATGGCCTGCTAAATAGAAGAGCTCTTAAACTCTAAGACATTGGAGAAATTAACTGAAACCAAAAGAGAGAAAGGTATATTTTAGACACAGCTTAAAAATCGGTTGGATTGGAAAATACTACTACACTCTAATATATAAATATGAATGTACAATTAATGTGTATGTATATACAAATTATTTTAATTTAAATATGTAAAACTGTATAATGGTGTAAACTTTTGTTTTAAAATTTGGCTACACATTGAGCTATTTATTCTGGTAGCTCTATGATGATTATAGATTTATTCTCAAGAAATTTTTGATTTACTTAGAAAAAAATCACTTTAATTGATTTGTTCTTGTTGTAGAAGAGGGCAAGATATTTTTGAATAATCTAAAGAGGAGGAAAATTATATTCTACCTCTTTCCAAAATAGTTTGAAAAACAAAGTAACAGGATTTGAGTACTAACCCTAGGAGCTAACATGGAAGGAGGACTGGGATGCACCATGGCTTCAGAGAAATTGAGATCAAAAGGGGGGTTTTGAAACTGGAACAGTTGGGCACAATACTATGCCTAGGAAACATCACAGCCACCTCTATGTGACAAAGATACTCACTCAGAAATCTCTTGTATTCGGGCTAAACTGAAGATGACTAGACCCTAGAAACCAGACAGAAGCACAGAGACCCAAAAACAATTTGAGGATGCCCATGGGGCCAAAATATAAAGAAGTTCAAAAAAGGAGGCAGAACATGGTGTCTGATGTCTGATAGGAGGAATCTAGGCAAGAAGACTGAACTCAGAGACAAGATTGTAGTTTCCAGGAAGCCTAGAAGGGCAGAACCTTAATCTAGAAACCTGGCATGCTAACCTGGGACCCAGTAACTGGAGGAGACCTAATTGCTCCTCTCTGTTTTTGGCAAGAGAACTCGAGGGCTGGACGGAGTGTCTGAGATCAGGGAGTTGTAGAACCTTGGTGGATTTCTACCCATAGGATGAGTTGGTGTTTCTATTAGTGAAGGGTAGATGGCTGATCTCACCATTTGGTGTATTTTTTTTAGTTTAGAGTGGGCCATTATAGTGTGGGCTTAGGAGTCAGTTGGCTAGGCATTAATTCCTGGCTTCCCACTTAACCAGTGTTGTGACTATGAGCAGAGAATTTAACTTCTCTGTGCCCCAGTTGCCTCATCAGTGGGATGAAGTGAGGATCAAATGAGATAATGCATACCACCCACTTAATACTGCACTGACACAGTACATGCTGGATAAATGCTGTCCCTTATAATTATTATTACTCACCCATAAACCCTATGCTTCAGTTCTGCTGCTCCTGAAACTCACCTCTGGGCATTGGCACATGTTCTTTCTGTTTGAAGAACTCTGCTATGTCAATTCCTTTTCATCGTTACTGGTGGTGTTTGGGGTTTCTTCCTAGAACCTCTTTGATGAGTGAGGTGTCCCTCTTTTGTGCTCATAGAGCATTTTCACTTTCCCTGTAATGTATTTAAATTGACCATTGCCTTCTCTGTGTCCCCCATTAGCCTCTAGGCTTTATGTGTTTTGGGATTTTATAAGTTGTATCCATTGCTGTATCAGCAGTGCTAGCGCAGAGTAGAAGCTCATTAAATGCTGATTAAATGAATGTATGATGAGAGACCCCAGACTTAGATCCCTTTAGGGAGCCATAATCTGAAAGGATTTCTCTATTAGAGTTTAATTTGGGGAGCTCTATTAGAACTTAGTGGTAGAGCCAGAACTAGAAGGTCTGAGGTGAGAGATAAAGCTACTTTTAGAAGGAGGCAATGAAACCCACCCCTTCACTAATCCCTGTCTGTCTCCTGCCCCAATGGTGTTGGTAAAACAACTTACATCCTGAGAGTTTCTGACACAGCCCTCGAGCTGCTGTGGCAGTCACCATCTTTCCTAATCTAATTGGTAAAAACATGCCTGGAGGGTAGTCAGCAAATGACCGCCCAGCATCATTAAACAGTGCAAAGCATTCTAGAAAGTACAGGATGTGTGTTGCTTATGTGCGTGTAGGCGTAGGCATGACCTAGGCAAGATGCTGCTGTTCTTAGTATTTATAAGCATTTCTCTTGCATTTCTTTCATCTTAATTCACTTTTTTACCTTAGTGAGAAAAATGACAAACACCACCAGCAGCAGCATAGCCTTAGAAGTCACAGGGGCAGGCTGAATATGGCCAGTCTTTTCTCCTCCTGGACTCTTCTCACTGCATGAAAAATGTATTTGTTTTATATTGCTGTGTAACAAGTTACCACAAATTTAGATGCTTAAAGCAATAGACATTTATTATCTTGCAGTTTCATTGGGCCAGTGATATGGACACAGCTTGGATAGGTCTTTTATTCATGGGTCTCTGGAGGCTGCAATAGAGGTGTCTACTAACCTTTTTTTCTCTCTGGAGTTCAGGGTTCGTTTTCAGACCCAGGTAGTTTTTGGCAGAATTCTGTTTCTTGCAGCTGTAGGATGGAAGTCCCTGTTTTCCTGATGGCCATCAGTAGGATACCACCCTCAGAATCTATAGGCCGCCTTAGTTCCTTGCCAGGAGGCTCTTTCATGGGCTTTTCATAAAAGTGAAGCTTACTTCTTCAAAGCCAGCAGGAGAATCTCTTGTTTAAGTCTGCTAAAATGGAATCTTACATAGTCTAATAAAATCATGGGAGCGACCCATCACCTTTGCCTTATTCTATTGGCTGTAAGTCACAGGTTCTGCCCACACTCAAGGGGAGGGAATAAGACAAGAATGTGAATCATTGAGGGTCACCTCAGGGTGTGTCTACCACAGGGAACAATCACAGAACATTCTCAGAGACCTCTAAGTGACTGTCAGCTGCCACTGCCAAATCATTTGTTAGATATATTTTATTAATTTCCCTAAGTTTGCAAGTAGCAGAGCTCACCCAACAAGAATAATTTTGATTGAGAAAAATTTGTCAGTAACCAAGAAAAATTGATTATTGGAGCCAGATGAGATGGCCAGATGCCTACCCTGTGAGCTCAAAAAGAAACTGTACCCTCATGTACTCATTTTGAGTTTGGAGACCTGGAGAAATGGCTGCAGTGTTTGCCACTAATTAGACAATTTGGAAAGAGTACATGTTGGGTTAGAAACCCCTATTTTCAACCCATTATTGAAGAAGAGGAAAGTCAAGAGTCACATTGCAGATTTTATCACTTGGGGCCACCTTAATGTTAATCTGCTTAAAAAAGCAAAATATCTAAAAGGTGTCTTGTTCCTGGGCTCTGTTAGTAGCTAGAGTCAGTTCCCTTAACTTGCATCGCTGAAAGTTCTGAAGAGCCGTTAGAGCCCATAGGGAGCTGGGAGGTGTGTGTTGTATGTGTACATGTGTGTGTATATATATGTGGTGGGGAGTGGGGGATTAGTGCCTTATGCATGCCATTGTATAAAGGTAAGGTTGGATGGGACAGCTAGGTTTTCAGCCACCCCCTTCCTCCATTTTTCCCTCTCTTTTATTCTTTCTATTTGCCTTTAAAGACCCTATTTTTTCTACTCTAAAGTACTTCCCCGGACAATCAAATAAAATCATAAAATCGGTAAAGGCTCTTGAAACTTTAGTCCAAAGTCAATGTGTCCTGATAAACAGAAAGTACAGGATTTAAAAAGGAGTCATTACATGTGAAATATTCAATAGAAGAAATAGCAAAAAAGATACTTGTTTAAGGGTCCATGCCTATTCACATGGACAAAGTATCAAAATAAAGGAATCTGAGAGGTCATTTAAATAAATGAAATGATGCAGATTCAAGGGAAAGATAGATTGAACCTGAGGCAGTATCTATGTTTACCAAATCCAGCTTCGTGGCGAGTGAGCTGAAGGGGAATGTCTTACACACCTTTGCATTGCAGGATCCTGCAAATGGAGATTTTTTGTAACGCGTTCTCTGGAGTTAGACTGAATGGGTGCAGCTCTATAATCAATGTCTGCCTGTTAACTGCATAAAAGGGAACTTGTTCTACTTGAGGTTGAGGCCCTAGGCAGAATTTAAATCTCACTCCAAAGCCCTTAAATATTTTCCTAGAACCTCAGCCATGTGAAGGTCCCCAGCAAAGGGAGGCAACCGGGCAGTGTGATTGTATAGTGAAAAGATGGAGGTTGCCAGTAGAGTGTGGATAACTTCTGAGACACTGGGAGGCCACCAAAGGTAAATACAGTGGTATTTTCTCAATTTCCCCCCCTCCCCTAGTCTCAGATGATTTGAGAGCTGGATTGGCAAAGCAGGCTCAGGCAAGGCTCAGGAAGAGTGGCTTATTGGGCCAAGTCAGACAGGTAGTGAGTATGAAGCTAAAGGCTTGTCAGCATTGTCAGACCAGGCCTTTTGACACATGGTTAACCACCTGAAGTGAAGGTTGGAAGAAGTTACATTGCATTTTAGGAGGCACTTTATAAAGTGCTTTCCCACATAAAGCAGTCAAACAGGTCTAGTATCTGAGGCCAGCCTGCAATCAACTGCTGCTAATACACTCTCTACTGATCTAAGCGATCTTTTTCCTCTTAGGCGAGACCACTCTGCTCCTTCTAGACTTTCAAGAATGGTGTCATGACCCAATCTACAAAAATGTCAGAACCCAAACAATTTGGAGCAGTAATGAATTACAAGCTATCAAACAAAATAATGAGGTATCAAATTATAAGCTATGAAACAAAATAAAATTTATGAGCCCGTAATAATAATAAAGAGTTAGTAATTAGGGGAAAAGAGATGATCCTTTTTTACATTAGAATTCAGACAGCCAGTTGGAAATGTTAGAGGGAGAGATACTTGGAAAATTGTCGTTTTGCTTCCGTAGTAGTAAAGATGGGATGAGAAAAGAATCACCAATGGATGCTAAATCCAGGGACTAATTTTATTGTGGGGCATGATACATGTATAGTCATAAAGTGACTTTCCAAGGACTTCCTATTAGTTTCAAGGAAGAACAAAAATAATCATTACTGTGGAAAACCAGAAAATAGTTAATTGCATTTTTTAAATTAACATTATCAGTGAGGGACAGATGAATATTATGTACCCCCAGATTTGTTTCCCAGATAACAAAATCACCTGTGTATTATTTTTTTGCCTGGAATGCATAATTTAAAACTAATCATGAACGTCAGACAAACTGAAGGTGAGGAATATTCTGTGAGAGTGGGGAGATTGTATTCTTCAAAATTATCCATGACATTAAAGACAAAGAAAGGCTCTGATATAATTCAGGTTAAAAAAAGCTCAAAAGAAATAACTAAATGCAACACCTAATTCTAGACTTGGTCCCATACTGAAGGGGTGAAAAGGCAAACATTTCAACAGGCAACGTTGATATGCAGCCATGTATTATTTAAAATTATCATATCAATATTAAATATGTTGATAATTTTAATGTGGTAATATAAGATGAAAGAGTTATTCTAGGCAATAAAAATACAAATATTTAGGAGTAAAAGACCATGATGTATGCAACTTCCCTCAAATGATTTTGGAAAGAGAGTCAGGGGAGGGGCTGGAGGGACAAATAAAAGGATTAAACAAATGATTAAACAATAACATAAAATATTCATAAGAGCAGAATCTGAATTTTGGTTAAAAGTAGATGAATGTTCCTCATTTTTTTTAATTTTTGCTACTTTGTGGTAAATTTAAAATTATTTCCAAATGAAGAGTTTATTTTAAAAGTTATCCAATAAATATTGTTGTTAAAAACCCACAAATGTAGAACAGTATATTCATTTTGCTCCCAGTTGTTCAAAAATAAATAGAAACACAAAGACACACATGTTCATTAATTTACATTAAATTATATAGAAAGATAGATTGGATATAAAAAAGTGATAGACATTTGCCTCTGGATCAGGGCATATATATCTAGAGAGGAGAGATACCTGCTTTTCACTGTGTAACTCTTTTGCGATGTTTGAATAAAAACAAAATACACATATATATATATGATATATATCATATATATGTGTGTGTATGTGTGTGTGTGTGCTTTTGAAATGAAAAACAAAGCACATTTGATTTAATTCAATTTCAAATATATTTATTAATTGCTCTCTGCACATTAGAATAGGCATTAGAGATATAATTTTATTTTATTTTATTTTATTTTTTTTTTTTATTATACTCTAAGTTTTAGGGTACGTGTGCACATTGTGCAGGTTAGTTACATATGTATACATGTGCCATGCTGGTGCGCTGCACCCACTAACGTGTCATCTAGCATTAGGTATATCTCCCAATGCTATCCCTCCCCCCTCCCCCGACCCCACCACAGTCCCCAGAGTGTGATATTCCCCTTTTATGTCTCCTTTCTTCCAGGAGCACATGTTCCACTGAGAAGAGAGGGATAAGATCTTTTAATCAATAAAGAAAAGTAAAAGCATTAAAAATGCCATTATTAGAGTAAAGTAAAAGAAAAAGAATTATAAAACCTTTGTTGTATGTCTGGATCTCCCACTGACTTAATTGTTATAGCTTACCTAAAATCCTTTATACTTTATTTTTCAAACTTTATAAAAGGATGAATAACATTTCTCTTCCTACTTTCCACATAAGAATGCTCCAAGGATTAATGGGATTGTTTTATGAAGATTTTTGAACTTCACTTGGAAAAGATATCTGAAAGGATATGAAATGAATACATATTAATTTTAATTGATATTAATTTTAATTGTAAAGCATGCTTCTTTGAAACACATTTATGCGTCAGCTGAAGTAGACAGAGAGAGAGAGAGAGACGGCTGTGGCTTCTTAAATTAATTTAAGGCTTTCTTAAATTTAATTTAAACCTTAAATTAAATTTCTGTGTAATTTGGCATTTTACAGCAAAAGTAGTCATGTTCCTTCCTCCACGAGCTTTCCTAAATAAAAATTTTCATGTTATCAAAGCCAGATTCATTGAGACATCCAAAAGTGATGACTTTGGGACAATTACTTGCAGTTACTCCACTGAGATTGAATCCAAGTGTGTCATGGTCTCTGACAACCTTTTTGGAATATACCTAGTTTTAATAATGCAGTTGCTATTACACATTTCCTAAAAGTAAAAGACAAGAACACTCGCCGAATGCCACTATAAAAAAAAAGTTAAAATATTTTTTGCAGAACGGATCTTAAGGGTCACCCTTTAATATCATAAAAGGAGAAAATTCCAAGTTTGATGTTAAAACATGAGTCTTAGATTTTCATATGGTACCAAATATTACTGTTTTTATAGAATACTTTTTAATGTGATTCTGATAGACAGCCAAAAAACCCATGAGGTCTACTAGAAATGAACACTTTAGGCTTTTAATATTAATACTATGAGTTTGCATAATACTTTATCTTTCTTCAAAGGCTTTCACATTCATTGTCTCATTTGAGAGCCTTAGCTGCTTATTCAATGGCCTTTTCATTAAATCACATCACCTCTCCAGTAACTTTTTCATTCTCTTGTGACTGAAAAAGTACATCTTAATTATAACCATAAATAATTCTATATTTTATTATTGTGCTGGATGAAATATTGATTATTGAGTAAAAAGGCTCAACAATTTGAAGATGGCATACAATACAAATTTAGATCTACTATGAAGCTATATCTGTGTTGTCCAAGTTTTCCAGTACATTAGAGCTTCCCCTTCAGCTAACAGCTTTGTAACTGCTAACCCTGAAACCATGTAAGCTGAATTCAAATAAACCTTATGACTGATAATGCATGTGCCTACATTTGTACTGTAATGATTTTTTTATGATTTTGTAAACTTGATGATTGTATTAGAAAACATCAGATAGTATAAGAAAATTATGAAAATGATTAAAATAAAATATGGTAACATGCAAGACAAGTAAATTATTTTTATCATGGATTATTCTTTGCAAAGAGCTCAAAGCATCTTCCACGTGTTCAGTCTTTTGTATTACTTGACTATGCAATGTACTGACAGAAGATGAGCTTTGTCTACTCTAACATGAAGGATTTACATACCCCTTAATAGTGACTCCACTGGAGAACAAAAGCCACTAATGCATTTTTTTTGACTTCCTAATTTTATTTTAGGTTCACACACGTTATCAAAAAGTAAAGGGAAATGACTAAACAAACTCACTCATTATACTTATTGATGGCTATGTATTGACTTCACAGTAAATGATAACTAAAGTCTATCCAAATTTTTCAAAAATAATGCCATGTATTTCAAATGACTCTACAACCCCAGTGTGGATATTTTATGCTTATTTGTGCAAGAGGCCAAGACCACAGATTATGAACGAAGAAAATTTGGGTAGACTTTAGTTATTATTTTCCTTCAAGATCGCAAGATAAAATTATCTATGAATTAACTGTTACAGTTAATTACACTGTGTCACTTTTTCATGTTTTCTTGTTGGTCTCTTGTTTTCTATCGTCCCTAATGTCGTATCTGTGATTCACATTTTCAGAAAACTTTATTGCAAGTAGACTGTGAGCTTCAAAGAACTTACAGCAACACAAATTTATCTCCTAATATTCATCTGTATGACATTATCTCTCTGCTTAATTTCCATAGAGATATGAATAAAGGAAAGAAATTGAACCTATAGAAGCAATGGTTTTGGTCTGCTCTTTGAGCCTGATTAAATAAAAGATTTTAATAGACAATTTTAAAAAGTTTTATGAATAAGATCTTGCTTATAATTTTATTATGGCTGTATTGTATGTCTAATATTGTAAATAATAATTTTTATTTTATTATAGCTAATATTCAAGTGATGTTTAAAGCATGATCGGTACTGTGTTGAACACTTACACATTTTCCCCTTTAATTGCCCAACAATCCTAAATTGCAAACTATCACAATTTTATTGATAAGAAAACGTAGGATTATTTAGGAAAGTCACACTGCTAGTGAATAATAGAGCTAGGAAACAACTTATAAGTAGGTTATCTATATCCAGAACTTTTATTCACACTGTTTTATTAAGTAGATAGATTGCCATTTTGTTCATTTGTATGTGTGTGTTTGTGTGTATGTGTGGTGTGTGTGTGTTTTCTATATCCTTATTATGTTTATATTAAACTGTATATCCACATTCTTGCTTCTCTCTCTCTCCCCCACCTTTCCTCACTAAATATATGTAATTAGAGATGGAATACACATATATATATATAAATATTAACATATATTTATATATCATATATTAAAGGCTGAGCTAACGGGACATACGATACATTTTTCTTGTTCAAGATAAAGCCTTTACCAGGTATACAAATTTGGCTAATGTTTTTTGAAATCATCTTTAGGACCTGTTTACCAAGATAATCACATTAGATAACTCTGCTTTTTAGTCTCATGGCTGCAGAATATTTTGCTCATATTAAATTATTTCTGTTACCTCTAGAATCAACTTTTGTGTTTTTTCTAGTTGAACTTGAGATGGTCCTTTAATTATTTAGTAACTATATCTGCTTGCAATTATACTATTTTAACTGACCATGTAAGAACTACCTGTTCACTGTTTCCATCCATGATATTCACATATGGGCTTAATAAAGAAGCATTCTATGTGTTGGCATTGGATTCAGACCCTAAATAGTGGCAACTTTTTGGCACTTGGTTTTGTATTAGCAATGATGTTTAACTTCTTGTCATCCATTTATACTTCTCCCTTTATTAATTTAGGACAATAGTTATAAGCCCATCTTCCTTGCTAGAAATAAAACTGAGACCTGATTTTTGCTTATAATGTATAGGCAGAAACCTGCTGGGATAAGGGTGGAAATGATGAAAATTCTTTTTCCTAAAATAAAGACACAGAAATGCAATATCTTTTGCGGAGCTGCTACAAATATCTTACCAACTGTAAGTAGCCAGAGAACCAAGATAATTAGTATGGGAGGGCTGAGTGCTGAAAAGAATCCAGGCCTCTGATAGTTTTGTACAGACGCTACATCAACCAACCCTGAAAACGCTCTACCTTTAAATTGTTACATTAGACTGTACCTTTCCTTATTTTCTTGTACTTTCATTGAAAACATATGTACTTTCAGTGACACATGAACCATGTATTTCTGTGATGTCAGTAGGATATCTGTGCTCACATTTTAAATGGCCATAAATTAGACCTTTCAGTCTGCTGCAAAGAAAAAAATACAGATTTTTGTATACAGCTGTGACATAATGCTATGTTAATCCAAGAGTATATCTTAAAATATGCTGACCTTCTGTTATGTAGACTTGCTTCTTAGGTTTTTGGAGTAGTTGGTAGTAGTGGTTTTGAAATCACACCATAGATATTTATTTAACACCAACTTTATTCCAATCACTATGCTAAACTCTAAGGACAATAACAATAAGTAAGACTCAGTACTGGCCTTCCAGAATCACGCTTTAATGAAGGAAGCAAGTATCTACTCAGGAGCTAGGTATTATGAGATTCACAGGAAAGGTGCTTAAACTAGTCTTCAGTGTGTGGAGAAAATACTCCAAGAAGAGTACTTTCTGAGAATAGATCTAAAACAATGAACAGAATTAGCCAAGTACAATGATATGGCATTTCAGACAGCATATACAAACACTCAGAGATAGAGAGAACAATTTATATTCCATATCAACCTGAAAAAAGTCAGTATGACAATAGCATTGAGTTAAGTGACAGAGGCTGAAACAAGGGGGTGGAGGGAAGGAGAGGAACTATTACAAAATAAATCTTGTAACGCCTTAGTATGTAGTTTATGTTGTAATCTGTTTGAAGGAGGAAGTCACTGGAGAGTTTTAGCTTTATTAGAATAGTGACATGAATACATTTATATTTTATAAAAAATCCCTTTTGATTATTGATGGACTGAAGCTAGATAATCTTAAAACAGATATATCAGTGAAGTGTATGTTAAAATTCATTGAGGAAAGAGATGATGTGACCTAAACAGAGGTGATAGCATGGGGAAGAAGAAGAGTAGATGAATCTGAGCAAGTGGAGTCAAAAGAATATTCATTATGCTGCCGAATCTATAGACCCGGAGTTCATGGGAAAAAGCTGCCCTGGGAGCCATACAAATATAAATAAACCTATGAAGATGTATGAACTAACCCAGCAATGGAATAAGAGAGGTTTTGTTTGTTTTATAAGTAAAAGAAAAAAATAAAAGGCTAAGCACAGGTCTTTTAAAAATATCAACATTTAAGAAGAGACAGAATGAAGCAAGACAGCCCAAGTAAGGAGACAAAACACTAAAAGAGACGTAATAAGAATTTAAACATTTATTTCAGGAAGATGGAAGGAGGCAGTGGTGTCAGATGAAGTACCAGTTCATGTGTGGGAAAAAAACAAAAACAAAAACTGAGAAATGTTGATTGGTTTTAGCAAAAAGGAGGTCATTGGTGACCTTGGGAATAGCAGTTGCAGTGGGGTAGTGTGAGAAGAATACAAATTAGAAAGGTTTTAGGAATGAATTAGAGTAAATTAGGGGAGACAAAACTCAAGCAACTAATGTGAAGGGAAAAAAGAGAGGTTATTAAGTAGAGAGGACAACCAGTGTCGGCCAAGAGCTTTGCACTGATGTATGAGTTGTCAAGATTTCTGACTACGTACCCAAGAACTGTCAGTGCAAACCAGGACTTATGCTTGCATACACTGTTTACCAGACACAGATTGGTACCTATTTTGCATTTAGAATGATACTCAAACCACAACAGCATGCTGACTCAGCACAGAGATTCATACTTGATGGAGAGTTTCTCTCAAGTGTGCATACAAAGTGCAATGTTAGGCATACAGTCATTCTTCAATAAATATCCACATGACATAAAGGACTGAGTATATTAATCTTCAGTTACCTATCATTTTATAAAAATCAATTCAAATCCTTTGTTTTCTTTACTTGTAATTTTTTCCCCAAATGCTGGCTCTACATTAGTCTAAGATAATGTTCTATCACTATTTCAAATAATTCAATTTAAATATCTTATTATCAGATGTTCTCTGGAATTCATCTTTAGGGAAACACATACATGTTTTTTACAAAAAACTAAACCAGATGGCTTTTTCAATCTGAACTGTGTGTACTAAATAAGAAATGTTCATCCTGGCCCATTTTCATGCCTTTTTATTGTTATTACTATTGCTACTATGATAGCATACATTATTTGAAAAACATAAAATAAATTAATATCAAATATCACTTGAGAATAAAATATCCAGTTCTATATAAGAACATTTAATTAATCCATTACATAATACATATTATAAGCTTGTATATAGTAGAAAATAAATCACAAACTTTTCAAGTCATAATAGAATAAAACAAACAGAGCTGAGCTGTCTTTAACTGATTTTGATAAGAAGAAATGCTGTAAAATGAATGTATACATATACTTACTGCAATTTTATTTCACAAGGAAACATAGAGGATAATTCAGCTCAAAAAATAGTTATTTTCATGAGTTTTTCTTTAAATTATGAAATTTTTTAAATGCTCATATCATACCTATTTAGAAAGGGAATTCCTAATCAAATTCAAAAGAAAAAAAACCATAAGTGAAATTGTGTTCCTCTGCTTTGCTATTAACAAGCATGCTTAATTCACCCCACTTTGTAGTTGTAGCAGAAAGAAATTGTCCTGGAATTCACCAACAAAATATCAAGTCCAACCTGCTACAACTGTGAAACCTAGTAACTCAGAGGAATCAAAGTTTCTACTCCTTGAAACCCAGCAAGGCTGTCACCTATCAAAGGCTGCACCTTCGGAGTCCTTGTAATAAAGATCTGAAGAATAATGTAATGTGTCATTAGCATCAAAGTGTCTGCTAGCCTATAATATTGGTTTTGATTTAAATGTGTTAAGTACTGGCCCCTTGGCTTGCTTCCAAATTCCTAGTTGCTTACTGAGTAAGCACCAATACTTCATCATATGAATTTACCTCTTTGAAAACAGACTTGCATATAAGCTGCTTATGAAGAAAACTGTTTCCTGCAAAATACCACTTTCCTTTCTAAAACCCATTTAATTCACATTGCACCACAAGGGCAGTAGTCATGCAAAATTCGTAACACTACATATGATACAACAGAATAAATCTAAGTTAAAAAAATCTAAAACAGAATAACCTAGAGACTGCCTCAGCGATTACCTGCCTCATTGAATCTTTTCACCACTGCTGGCAAATTACAGCTGTTGATTCTACAAATTATTAAAATTTTACCTATAATGTTATAGGAAATGCCATTTACTGACTGCTGTATGGGATCAGGGAGTGTTTTTCTCTCCACGTAACATCAAAGAGCATTTCACAGACTCCAGATATAGGTGTTCTGTGTTAGCAAGTGGTGACATTCCCAGTCAAATCCTCACCTTCAAACTTGTGAAATTTATTTTCTCCTCTTATCCAGCTGCCAATTATTTGTTTTTCTCCTTGACACACACATTAACATGTACACACATACTCATTGATTCAATACCAGAGTGGCTGAGGGCAACTCTTTATTTGGCATTCCTTGTTGATGCATTAATAAACAAATAGGCAATGTGTAGGTGGGACACTTGTATTCGGCTCCCTTCTCAATCTGTTCATGTTTTATTTCATTCAACCACAGCATAACCCTCCGAGTTAGGTTCATTTTCCCCATATTTATCTGAAAAATTACTGAAGGTGAGAGAGAATAAATAGTCTAAGGACAGAGAGTGAATGACCAAGTTAGGGTTTAAACCAAAACACACTGGCATCAGATCTTGCATTCTCAAGTACTCTGTTACACTGTTTTTCCTTCCAAATCTGACCACATTTGAAGTAGTTGGTAATATATTTTATGTCAATGTATTTGAGAAAAAAAATTTCTTGAACTCTTTTGTGAATGTTATCTTAGCCAATCACCAAAGTAAGAATAGATAACAAGCTAATATTTATTTGTTAAATAAGTGTTGGATTTTTAACTTTAAAATTTTTCCATACACATAAATAATCAAAATGGGACCATCTTGCTGAAACTGGAAATCTTTAGTAAGTTACTTAACCCCCCAACCCGCCCCCCTCCTTTTTTTTTTCTTTTTTGGAAGAGAGTCTCGCTCTGTCGCCCAGGCTGGAGTACGGTGGCGCTACCTCGGCTCACTCGGCCTCCCGGGTTCAAGTGATTTTCTTGCCTCAGCCTTCTGAGTAGCTGGGATTCCAGGCGCTTGCCACCATGCCCAGATAATTTTTTTTGTATCTTTAGTAGAAATGGGGTTTTGCCATTTTGGCCAGGCTGATCTCAAACTCCTGACCTCAAGTGATCACCCCGCCTTGGCCTCCCAAAGTGCTGGAATTACAAGCATGAGCCACACTTCACCCCTTTAAGCTTTGATTTTATAATGTCTAATGACATTTGTCTTTGTTAGAAGGCTGTTACTTGGTATTAAATAATATAATTATGAGCATATTCATTGTCAACAATAAATTTCTATACAAATGCATCATACTATTATTATATTACCAAAATGAATGTTAGAATTCTATACTCTATATTAACTGGGTACATCTAAGATAATTTTAAATGAAAGAGGAATAAATACCCTGTATATCACTTATATGTTCAGAGGAATTCAAATACATAGGTTCTGAGGTTCCTCAGTTCTACTTAGTAATATAAAGACATTATTTATTAACATTTAGATTGTGATGATTGTTGTACATACTTGATTTCCAGAATTAGATTATTTGATTAATTAAACCCTCTGCCTTACAATAAGCCAATCCTTTGTTTATGTTACGTGGGTAGTTAGATAGGCAGATGATTAGAAAGGCAGAAGGTAACCCACTGGTTAGGTACACAAATATAATAAGTAGGGGTTTTGCTCTACCCCAAGTATATTGAGAATTCATAAAAAGAATCAAAATAATTTTAATGGATCTTGCCTAAGGATAAGTTATCTCTTTTAGCTTAAAAATTGCTTTGCTCCAGAAAAGTTCTCTTTTCAAATATGTGCAAAATATCATCTCTGCCACTTCTTAAGAAAATAATTTGCTAAAGGGAATGTTTTAGAAAGTTTCTATTAGTCAGAAAAATCTGATTTATAATCTCCACAGATTTCTAACACATTATGTCTGATTACCAGACCATCGATGATATTAAAACTCGAGGCATAAATTTTTCGTCAGGGTTTTATTTCAATTTGACTCGGCTTTTCTACCACCTCAACTATAGTAGGCATCCATTACTGCTGATGATTGTGTTGACCCTGAGAAAATGCAGTGAGGGAGGGGATGAACTGTTCATAATATAATGGAAATTACTTTTCCCGTTTGGCACATAAATTAGGAAAAAAGTAAAAAAAAAAAAAAGGGAGTGTTTGAAGTAGTCATCTGTTAAAGGTCAAATTTCCAGAGTCATCCTTGCTACAAATCTGGGGAAACACATTATTCAAAATGTTTTGTTTTACCCTGCAAGTGGCAGAGGTGAAATTCCTTTTGTGTTGCTCAGAGATTTTCTCTTTGGAGTTTTTCCTTTCCCATATAAACACATGAAAGTGCAATTTATTTCTGTGTTTTGTGTTCCTTTTCCTGATCAGACTGGCAAACGATATGTTGGCATCATCACCTTCTCCTTTGTGACAAATTCTGATTTTCTACTTCATAATTAGATCAACTTACACTGGACACATTTTGTTTCCTCCGGAAGATGACTAGTTGAACTGAAATTTGTTTACACAAACACTGTAATTTAAGTGCTAATAATGCCTTTGAGTTAAAGGATGGATGTAATTGAAAAGGTCAAAACCTATTTGACTTCCTTTAAATGGTTGATAGCTTGTTCACTTATATTGATGTTATCTGAAATGCCAAGACATTTTCCCTTTTCATATAGAGTGTAGGGCTGTTCATTACTATTTTTTCTGGCATCCATTCATTCTAAAACATTAAACAGTGCCCAGAATAACTATGTGTTTCTAATAGTTAGTGAGAGGTAGTTCCTATCTTCAAAAAACACACATTCTGATAGAGGAAAACAACTACTTAGTAACAAGTGATAACCACCATTTTTAGTGCTTTTTTATTCATTCAGCACACATTTGTAAAGTACCTATTATATACTAGACACTATCATAGGATGTAGACACATACATAAAGCCAACTGAATCCTTGCCTTTTGTGTACCTTGCATTCTACTGGGGAGCAATCGCAGTATTTCAGATTCTGATTAGTTAGATTGACATTGTCTCTTTCCATGGGAATTTGCAAGGTCAGCAGAATTTGAGGGTGGTGGAAGAACAGAAGCATTTTCTCCTCCCTGCAATAAAGACATTATTTCATGTTGCTCATACTGAAAGGACATCTACATATCCATATTGTGTTTTTTAACACTGTGCTTTGCTGAAAGTTATATATAAGCTTATATAAGTAATATAATGTTTCCTACCATATAATCCAAGTTCTTCGTCATCACATTCACCATGAAGCTTTTCCTAACTGTCCCTGACAGAAGTTTATTCCATTTTAAGATGCTCATCTTGTTTTTCACATGTATATAATTATGTACTTCCTTATACCATTACTAGATTGTAAGCTACTTATGGCCAAGAAACTATGTTGTAATCATTACTCTATTATGTATAGAACTTAACACAGGGCATGGCTTATACTGAATGAATATTAAGTTGAAATATAACCAATGTAAACTAAGAATTAGAACAACAATATACACATGCACACACAATATTCTTCATTCTTTGTCTCCAATTTCCAATTTGAATTTTAGCATAATTTTGGATCACATGCCTTTGTCCACATAAATATCTTATACTTTCTATATTCTCCCAATATAGTAGACACACAACTACAGTTTCTGATTTCTGTAACTGAACATTTTTTCATGAGAACAAAGAAAAGACATTGGATTGAAATATGCTATTTATTGTATTAATAATATATTTAAGCATTATTCTTGCAATTCAATGTTTTAAGACATTAAGCATTTCTAAATTTACTTAGATTGCTGTATTTTTGTGAATGCAATTACCTATATCATTGAGAGAGAACAGCTATAGTAAAATTAATTATTAATTATTTTAACTTTGTTATTTATTTGTCTTCTAATTTATTTGAACTTCCTTATGATCATTAATATTCAGATTGATCATTAATTTATACCTTATAATAGTTATAGTATCTGAAGCCAAATCTTAGAAAAAGCATCAAACTAATTATTTTCTCTTTCCAAATCTGCACACATTTCATGATCCCTCCAGACATAAGAAGCCACAAGTTCACATTTTCTTGACAATGGCTTTGATAATCCCAGATAACATTTACCAGCTAGTAGATATTTGTTCCCTGAAGAGTTAGTCAGTTGACAGGCTGTATTTGTTTAGTTTCACTTTGCTGATCTTAACAAGAATTAATTCTCCTAGCTGTAGTTAATATCTAAGTACTGTAATGACATACATCTAACTGTTCCTTGCTGACTAAATGTTTTTTCTTTTAGTTTTAAATTAGAGTCTTACATACATAAAGAGAAAACAGGATTTATCAGCATAAGAAATTTTTTTTTTCACAAATGCAAATCCTTATTTCTCTTACATAGAAAATACTGGGGGACTAATACAGTGTTCATTCTATTAGAGTGCAGAAAAATTCTGTAAATGTGAGAATTCTCTTGATTCCTGCTTCTCCCCAAAAGAGGTTCCCCTGATTCATTGAAAGCTGCACAAACTCTCTTTGTGTTTGAAGGGTGTTTTCTTATTTCAAACCAAATATATTTATTCCACTGGCTTAGATAAATATTGCTACAAAAATATTTATTGTGTGCATTTTAGATTTATTTATCAAATATATAGATATAAGGCATATTGAATTAAAATTATCTATAGATAAAATAGAGGTGCACTCAGGTAAAATTTTAGACTGCTAATCTTCCCTGAGGAATACTGATTCCCTTTGGTTTTATCCTCTCTTTCTATTAGATATTAATTTTTACTCTCTCTCTCTTTTATTTTCTTTTTTTGGTCTACAGAAAAGCCAATAGATAGAAGTGATGAATGTGGACATGTAGTTTCCAAGTAAAACTGTAGCCATGTGGCTCAGAGCAGCAACAATGTCTTATGTATCCTTTGTACCCCTGACATCTGATATGGTACTTGATGCATAATGTAGTTCAATAAATATTGAAGTGAATAAGCTATACAAGGAGGTCATAAGCAAGATATAATGAAACAATATGCTATTATACTTGAAAAAAGAGGTACATGAGGAATATTAAAAAGCCATGATTCAGAAACTTGGAACAGGAAACTCTAGCCTGATATTAAAATGGGGAAAGAATCTGGTTTATATTTCTAGCTGTACTACTACATCATTTAATTCCATTAGGAAATACTGGTGTCAAAATATTTATTATATTCTTCTCTTCTGCCATCATAGACACAAAATGATGTTTCTACATCAGGATAGAGAATCCTTGGTATCAGATACTTCTATTTTTGCACTGTATCCTCTCAAATACATTTATGGAAATATTAAAATTTTGAAATTACATTCAAATGTGGACTCATGACAGATACTAATGATGTAATGTTAAGTAAAGGCAATTAGGGCAATATATTATGAGAATAACTATATTTAGCAAGAACCTAAATATGAAAATGTATTTTATACGTGTGCTGAAGTATGTTAAATGAAGATATCTCTAACAGGGTGGCTTTTGAAAGAAGTGACATCCAAACACCCAGGTAAGAATATTTTAGGCACAGAGAACAAATGCTTTGAAGTGCTGAACTGAAGGAGGCCATTGGATATGTAGTGAAACCAATACAGAGAGAAATAGTAAGTCAGATGAGAGATGATGGTGGCTTAACTGGGACCTTAGCAACAGAGCTAATGGAAAGTGCTTGAATTCTACATGTAGTATGTAGACAGTGATTCTAATTTAGGATTCGATGCTGGGCCACTGCATTATTTGGAAGTTTTAAAAATGAGGAAAAGTAAAAAAGTAGACTAAAACTAGCATTTATTGAGAAAGAAGAAAAAAAAATGACATCTTTGATGCCAAGTAAAGAAAACAGAAAGCATGTAGTGATGAAATGTGTCAAAAGCTGAGGAGATGATTTAGATAAAGTCTGGAAAAAATTTTTAAATACCCCTGGATATGTCAGCCTGGATGCAAGTAATGGCTTTGACAGGAAAATTTGCAATGAAGTTTAAAGTTCACTGAAAGGAGTTTAAAGAGTGGATAAAGACAAAGTGAAGTGATAAATATAAACTACAAGTTAGAGGAGTGTGCATTTGTTACTATAAAGAGGAGCACAGAAAGAGAGCACTAGTAGGAGTGGGTAGCAGGGTCCAAAGAAGTTCTTTTTCGAGAAACATTATATAATACTATATTCTGATATGGACATTATAGTAGAGAGGAGAGAATTTAAAAACTTTTGACAACGCTGAAAAGAAAGGAGGAGTCCAACTGTAAAAGAGGTGTCTGGGAGTGTGTATAAGCAGATGAAATCAGATCATAAAGTAGGAGAACTGGTTTTAGGAACATGATTCCTCTACTTCATGACAAAATATATAGCTGACTATGAATGTAGGTTAGTAGATTTCATCATTTGGGTTGCGGTGAGGGCAGTAATCTGAAAGTCCTTATCTAATTTATCCTATTTTCTCAGTAAAACAAAGAACAAAAGTATCAGATAAGACAGAGAGTAGAGAGGGGAAATGTTGGAAGTTTAAGAAGATGAAGATATAAGTTTTACCAGTGGGGGGTTATTTCTAGGTGTTAAGAAGGAAGGGAAATGAGAAATGAGTTGACACAGATTTTCTTACCAGTAAATACAGATTCCCAGGTACTCAATTTCATACACTGTATTCCAGCCATATTGATTTTTTCATACTTTTTAAATATACCTCACATTTTAAGACTTTGCAAATTCTATGGTTCTGATAGGGGAGCTATGTAACTTTTAATCATTCTTCCTACCTCAATTTAAATTCCAAGAAGGCTTCCCTGTGCAAACCCCAAAATCACCACTGTCCTATCACTTATTATATTATAGCGCATATACTTCTTTTCTTTATATCAGCAACTGCACATGTTTTTTTTTTTCATGTTGATATGACATGTCCAGTAGCTATGGGTAAAATATTGCATATTATAAAATTATATAGATCTGTTATTACATGCAAGCGCCTTGTTTTTTGCTTCCTCCCAGTGAAGAGATACAATTGACTTCTTCTTTTCCAATTTGGATGCTTTTTATTTCTTTGTCTTGCCTGATTGCTTTGGCTAGGACTTCCACTACTATGTTTAATACAAGTGCTGAAAATAGCATCCTTGTCTTGTTCTAATTTTCAGAGGAAATGCTTTCAACTTTTCCCCATTCAATACGATGTTAGCTGTGGGTGTGTCATATTTGGCCTTTATTATTTAGAGGTATGTTCCTTCAATGCCTAGTTTGTTGAGGAGTTTTATCATAAAAAGATATTAAATTTTATCAAATGATTTTTCTGCATCTACTGAGATAATTATATAATTTTTGTCCTTCAATCTATCGATGTGCTGTATCACATCGATTGGTTTTCATGTTGAACCACCCTTGTATCTGTGAAATATATCACACTTTATCATGGTGCATTGTCTTTTTCATGTGCTGATGGATTTGGTGTGGTAATGTTTTGTGGAGGAGTTTTGCATCTATGTTCATCAGGGATATCATCCTGCAGTTTTCTTTTTGTGTTATGTCCTTGTCTAATGGTTAGTATTGGGGTGATGTTGGCCTCATAGAACGAGTAGGGAAGAATTCCTTCTCTTTCAATTTTTTGAAATAGTTTCAGGAAGATTGATATTAGTTTCTCTTTGTTTGACTCGTCTAATTTCACTGTGAATTCATCCAGTCCTGGGCTTTTCTTTGTTTGGAGACTTTTTTATTACTGATTAAATTTCCATGCTTGCTGTGAATCTGTTCAGGTTTTCCATCACTTCCTGATTCAATCTTGAAAGTTGTATGTTTTTAATAATTTACCCATTTTCTCTAGGTTTTCCAGTTTGTTAGCATATAACAGTTGTTCCTAATACTCTCTGATGATCTTTTATCAGTTATAAAATCTCTTTTTGTCAGTTATAAAATCTCTTTTTTTCATTTCTGATTTTATTTTCTTTTGGATCTTCCTTTCTTGGTTAGTCTAGCTAGTAATTTATCAATTTTATCTTTTTGAAGAAACAACTTTTCATTTTTATGATCTTTTGTATTATTTTTTAATTCTCTATTTTGGTTTCTTTATGCTCTGATCTTTACTATTTCCTTCCTTCTGCTAGTTTTGAGCTTACTTTGTTCCTGCTTTGTGAGTTCCTTAATGTACAAAGTTAGATTGTTATTTGATATATTTCTACATTTTTGATGTAGGAATATATTGCTATACACTTTCCTCTTAACACTGCCTTTGTTGTATCCCACAGGTTTTGGTATGTATCATCGGTTTCAAGCATTTTTAAATTTTCTGCTTAATTTCTTTATTAACCCAGTGATTGTTCAAGAGCATGATGCTTAGTTTCCACATATTTGTATACTTTCCAAAGTATTTCCTGTTGTTGATTTCAGTTTTACTCCACTGTGGTCTGAGAAGGTATTTGACTTAATTTTGATTTCTTTAAGTTTATTTAGACTTGTTTTATGGTGTAACATATGGTTTACTCTGAATAATGCTACACGTGCTGATTAATGACTGTATATTCTGCAGTTTTGGGATAGAATGTTTTCTAAATGTCAATTACATCCATTTGGTCTAGAGCCTAGTTTAAATCCCTTTTTTTTCATTGATTTTCCTGCCTAGATGATCTATCTAAAGCAGGCAGTGGGGTGTTGAAGTCCCCTACTGTTATTTTATGGAGTCTATCTTTTTATTTAGATCTAGTAATATTTGCTTTATAAATCTGGGTACTCCAGTGTATTTAGAATTGATATATCCCTTTGACTGATTGATCTCTTTATCATTATATATAGTGACCTTCTTTGTCTTTTTTTCAGTTTTCGACTTATAATCTGTTGGGATGCCAGATGGGCAGTCTTCAGACCCCCCTGGTGGCAGAGGTGGGATGAGCGTACCTGTCTTGGGATCCGTAGTGTTAGTGGGTGGCTTTGTTGGCCATAGTGTTAGTAGGTACACACGGGCCAATTCTTGGACCTCCAGTTGTCTTGCTTAAATGCTGGTAGTAGTGGCAGTTGTTGGCCAGGTTTTGGGCAGATTCTCAGCACCCTGGGCATCTGGTGTGATGTGGTCAATGGCTGTGGTAGTGGTGGAGCAACTCACTGGAACACAAGTGGTAGTGCTAGTGATAGTAGTGACTGCAACAGGGTGGGTAGGCCAAGGCCCCATTTCACTGGTGTTGTGTGCAGATCAGTGCAAGCTATGGTAGTCTGGGCAAGTTGGGTTTGCCGGACCTCAGACCTTAGAAGGAGTGTTAGAAGGAGTGTTCAGGCACCAACAGGGCTAGAATGGGCTGGACAACTTCTAGGCCCCTGGATGGTGAAAACATCATTACAAAGTGAACAGGACTAGGCCACAGTCTTGTCCTCAGGCCCCCAGTAGTGAATTCAGGGACTGGCTATCTTAGGCAGGGGCAGGGTGGTTCTCAGGCTGCTGGGTGAGTAATCAGGTGTGGGTACACCGCGGGCCTGCCTCTAGGGAGGGTAAGGCACTCACAATGGAAGCAGGCTAGCGAGGTAGCTGTGGGTCATGTGGTTTCTTGGTGCCTTGGTATCACAGTAGCCTGCAGTAGCTGTGGTAGAATTTGCTCTTGAAGTGTGAAAGTGCCTGGCCTCCCCTACCCTTTTTTGTCCTTGGGTAGCAGTGGCAGCATCTGCACTAGCCCCAGGGCAGGACATAGACTTTTGGAAACTGGGCTCAGAATGGAGCTGCCTGTGGACTTGCCACTAGGGAGGATGGCAATCCTTTCAGCTGGAGCAGCACCGGCAGGTAGCTGTGGGAATGCAGTTTGGTCATGTCTTGGTTCCTCAACAACCCTCGGCAGCAATGCTGGGATTTGTTCATGGAAGTTCCCAGTTTCTCCTCTATCTTTTTGGCCCAGCCACAGCAGCACTGGCTTCCTTTGGGGACTTGGATCTCAGAATAGTAGCAAGGTGCACCTGCTCAGGGTTCGGATGCCTGTGGGACTCCATATGTTTTCCCTCTCTCGAACAATGCCTCTGTGCACTCTCTAGGCAGCTCCCTCTGTTAGCCTTGAAGCCCACAGAAGTCGAGGAGTTCTCCCATAGTTAGGGTTGTAAAATGGTATAGCAGGAGTGTGGAGTTGTGGGTGTCTTTCTTTTGCCATTACCTCACATCCGGAAGCTTCTTCCAGCTCCCAGACAATTCCTGCCAATCGACTTGCTTCTCTTCTCTCTCTTGCTTATTTAATCTTGACATTAACCTTCTCTACAAAGAAGAGTACAAGTTAAAATAGCCAGATCAAAAGTAAAATCTCTCTGTGATATGTATAGATTTTAGAAAAGAAACAACTAGGAGGTTAAAAAGGAATAATATTATAATAGAGTTTCAAAATCTTAAACGTTCATTTTGAATTTGATCATTTCTAAAGAGATTAAAATTAAGAATAGTTCATCTTTGAGCTAGCTGAGATTCGTTTTTTATGGTGTTCCATAATTAACTCAAACATGTTATTCAAACTTTGACTTCCTTGCAAATATAAAGGTATAATTTAGGTGGATAGAAAGAGTTTTCAGTAAAACAATATGCCAATAAGAGACTTTTTTCTTATTTCGTTCAATGTCAGGAAAATATAATAGAAAAAATCTGTCACTTTTGATGGAGTGCAGAGTATAATTAAATTTAGTCTTTCTTGAGACCTTTGTTTGAATTTGATTTTCAGTTAACTAAAGCTCATTGTTTAGTTCGAAAGCCTGTAAATTTGGTTTCCTATCTGCACAAAGAGACACATTAAAGCACCATACCAGATTTTTAAATGCACTTTCAATTCTTTGTGATCTGTATTGTAGCTTTCCTTTATTTAGAGCTGATTCTGATTTGAAAGAAAAATGTGCATTTTGACCTCATACTTTTCTTTCTCAGAGAGAGAGCAAGAGCTTATATTTTCAGTTTTTATACTGTGGATTATGTCTGTATGATATGTACTAGAACAGAGTTTCTTTGAAAATGTCTATTTCTGATTTTACATTATCACAACACCACTACAGTCAACAATTATTTAAGATCCTGAATAATTCTCTAATGAACATAGTTCATCATAAATACTGTTCTTATATGTGTGTATGTTTGTATATGTGCATGTATATAGTGTTGTTAAAGAAAACAAAGCCTTAGACAAATTAAATTTAGCAGAGTTTATTTGAACAAAGAACAAGACATGAATCCTGCAGCCCTTAGAACCAGAAGAGATTCAGACAGCTTCACATGGCAATGTGGGCAGGTAGTATTTGTAGATAGAAAAAGGAAGTGACATACAGAAACAGCTTGAGTGGTTACAGCTAGGTATTTGTTTTATATGGACATGGTCTGATCAGTGACAGCCTGTAATTGGCTGAAGCTTGGCTGCTATGATTGGCTGAGACTCAGCTACTTGTTACAAGAATATACCCTTAAGTCAGGTTGCTGCTTGTTTATATATACTAACTTAGATTGCAGGTCACTATGTACAGAGGCAGCTTTAGGACATAACTAATTTAACAATTCCCTTCTTTTGGTCAGCCTCTCAGTTTTGAGAGATTGACCAAATCCTTGGGCATGATGCTACTCTCCATCACTATAATGAGCTTGTTTAGTCCTCAGTATGGAATTCACAATTGATGACATAAAGAATGATTCTTTATATTATCTCCTTTTTTTGTGTCATTTAACCAGAGTGAGGCCACTTGATGTACAAGAGGTAGCCACATACAAGTATTTAAGACTCTTAAGAGGATATGGCACACCAGGAAAACTATTACGATAGTTATCAGGGGGATAAAATACCAAGAGACTGAAATATACTCCTTAACAGAAGCCCCCACGAGTAAACAGAATTAAATTTAACAACAAAGAGCCAGAAGAGGAAGCTACTTGTTTTAACCAAGTAGCTTCTCTGTTGATTCCGTTCAACTGAGTTTCTCCTATACCAGATTTATTTATCCAAGTCTAGCACGAGGTGTTAACTAGCACACACATTCCCCCGGTTCAGTCAACAGGTAGTCCAAAGCAATCCTGTTACCTAAAACAATTTTAGCAAGAGAATTTAAATAGGTTTGTTGGGCATCTGTAGCCTTTGTAGTAGAGTCAGCTATAGTAGCTAATATTTGAGACGGATTTCTAATCATAACTTCATTTACATTATGCTAAGCCAGGGAAGAAGCATCCTACAAGCAGAGTTATTTATTACCTGCTGGCAAATTCCTCTTTATTCTATACTGCATGTTAAGAGGTGTAGACCAATGTTCAGTTTCCAATTGGTTATGGAGTGATAATGCTACTGTCAGAATATTTAGTCCACAGTAGCCCCTTATTTTCCACTTATTGAGACATGGAGTTGCCCACACATAGGGTTGGTTGTTAAATCCTACATAGATAAAAACATATACTAGAGAGGCAAAACAGATGGTAGGATGCTTTATGCATTAGGAATCACAGTAGGGAAGCACTAGTGATATTTGTCTAAGGCTCTATTGTTGAATCATTGCATGGTTGAAGGCTACTTACAATTAAGGGATTAGGGTGGTAAATTCATTTACAAACCACTGAATTATCTTTCTTCTTATTAAATTTCTGGAATAATTTAACTGTAAAACTCTCATTATAAGTTTTACCTGCTGTTAGTAACATGCCATATGTAACATTCAGTTAAGTTCTCTCCAAAAGCTATTGATCATGAAATCTTAATTGTCATATTATCTTGCCATGTATACGTGAAAACACACAGGAGAAAAAGGAAAGGGGACAATGATTTCATGGTGGAGGAGATAATTCCTGTTCCATGATCTTGGGAAAGCTGCCCACATCTAGGATGTCATCTTCTTCTGAGGAGAAACATCCTTGGTTAATTATACCTTGAGGTCCCCAATGAGTGTACAGTCCCAAGGTTCTGGAGTTAAGGTTCTCTTCAGTTAAGACAATGTGAAGCCAATCCTTGAGGCTCTGATGTATAGGTGGTAAGAACTTGCTACAGTCCCTTTTAATTAAATTATAGGGCAGTCTTTCTCTGGTGCTAATTCCAAAAACCCAATCTCTGGGTTCTCAATCATGAAAGGTCTGATTGTCATCAGTTGGCAGGACATGAAGGGCTTATTTTATCTTGCAAAAACATACATTAGCATATTGGATTAAAGTCTCAAAATATTGAGCCATGTCAGAGTTCATAAGAGCATAAGTCACATGAAGTTCTTATGATTAGGGGGATAGGCCTTCCAGTAACTATTTCATAAGTGGTCAATTTATGTTTTCCGGCAGGAGTGAATCTGACTTCCATTAATTGGTAATACCTTTGACCAAAGAAATCTAATTGATTCAGTTTGCTTCACCAAATGCCATTGTGTTTGTAATACTTTAACTGACTGTTTTACAACTTGTCCAGTGAAATGATGACCTCTATCACTGGATATTTTTCCAGGAATGCCCTATAAGGGGATACTAATAAGGTTTTAGCTACTATTTATAATATTGGCCTTCCTGCAAGAGAAATCTTCCATACAAACAGAAAACATGCATTGAAGGTGGCAACTGAATGAAATGTTTCTGTAAGTGTTCAAATGATCCAACAGGTGCAAGAAATGTACCATCTGACGTTTTTATTGTCTTCTCAGGATTATGGGTTTAACAAATCAGACATAGGTTATGAACAATTTTAGATTTAGAACAGTCACCTCATCATTTTTTCATAACATATTATTTTATCTCTTTTATGATGCATCATATAATGCAGAGCTTTGAAGAATAGAATCTTTAAATACTCAGGAAGGATTAGGCAGCCATTAAGGTTCTCCATGAGTCCACACTCAACACTGAATTTGCATACTTTTTCTTTTTTCTTTTTTTCTTTTTTTGAGATGGAGTCTCACTCTGTCATCAGGCTGGAGTGCAGTGGTGCAATCTCGGCTCACTGCAACCTCCACCTCCTGGGTTCAAGTGATTCTCCTGCCTCAGCCTCCGGAGTAGCTGGGACTACAGGTGCCTGCCACCACGCCCAGCTAATTTTTTTATTTTTTAGTAGAGACGGGGTTTTACCATCTTAACCAGGATGGTCTCGATCTCTTGACTTCGTGATCCATTTGTCTTGGCCTCCCAAAATGCTGAGATTACAAGCATAAGCCACCACGCCTGGCCTGAATTTACATACTTTTAAATACCAGTTTTGTTTCTCTAATTCAAGTGTATAGCACTGTTTATTAAATAGTTTAACATAGATCATTTTGACTTGGATCAGTCTTATAGAGTTCATTTCAATTGTACATCTTAACAATTTCAGCCTAGTCTGCCTTAGAATGAAAACCTGCCACAGCAGTTCCATAGTAATCAAATAATTCTTGTTCTGCTTGAAATTGGGTTAGCATGAAAACATTCAGTTGTTTTATTAGAGTTCTGGGAATTCTTACTCAGTTAAATGGTATGATAAGATTTCTACGAATATCATACAATTTCTCAAACACATAATAATAACACTCCATACAAATAGAACTCAAAAAAGGTTTAGCATTACTTATTATTTCACAGTGTTTTTCTTATAATTTAATATATCAAATAAGCTCAATTAGTTTAATACTCATCTTTATCTAAGGAGAGAGAGCCTTTTGAGGTGTCTCAAGGACCCATTTGGAAAATCTCAAAGTTAATTTGACAACAATAAAAAATATTTTAGAATTTGATTTTGGGAAGTTTGTCAAAAATATCAAGGGTTCATCAAAATAGTATTACAGGTCACTGTGAAAAAATAGTAAATCATTTAACCAGAGTGATAAAGACTTCAAAGGAAATACAGAAAGTTACATGGTAGTGGAAAAACCTTAGCTCTTCTATTAGGATTTAACTTTCTTGAGTGATGCAGAAACTAATAATACAAAGCATAGAAAGTTATCTCGGTAAAATGCAAAATCTTTTTTTTTCCAATGACCTAAAAGGTAAAGAAAACCTTTTACAATTTCCTGTAAAAAGCCGACTAATGCTCCAAAAAAAAAGTTCTCGTTTTAGCAGAGAGGTCACATTCTAGTTTTGACTGTATAATTTTGATATTAATACTAAATTTTAGAAAAAATTTATAGATAATCTGCTTATAATCTTAGCCAGCTTGATTACATTTTAAATTCCTTTCACAAGATTCTTCTCCCACCAAACTTCTACAACCTTCTTATATCACTTCAATTATTTTATCTGTATTATTTTTTATTTTGAAACAATAGTCATTCTTCTTTGGGACTAAAAATACTTTCTTTTTCGTTAACTAAAACAAAATCTCTTCATACTTGATAGCTTTTTCTTACCAAAAGCACATTTTACCTTCCTTACATATTTGCATATAGAGTTGTTTTCTCATTATTTTTTAAAAATTAAGCAACATCTATAAATTAAAATTCTTAACTCTAGTAACCTTCATTTCCAGTGAACAGTGGGAAGCAAGCAGTTGTAAACTGTCACAGAGCAATATGTAGATTGGCAAATTTATGAATCATGATGTCTAGAAGCATGTGCTTTCTCATAGTACAATTTATCAATGTGGCACAAAACATGTTTACAAACAGTCACAGACATCTTTAGCCTCTCTTTGTGATAAGAAACTGTAGAGGGGACACTTTGGGAGGTCGAGGCGGGTGGATCATTTGAGGTCAGGAGTTCAAGACCAGCCTGGCCAACATGGTGAAACCACGTCTGTACTAACAATACAAAAATTACCCGGGCAGTAGTGGCATGTGCCTGTAATCCCAACTACTCAGGAGGCTGAGGCAGGAGACTCGCTTGAGCCTGGGAGGCTGAAGTTGCAGTGAGCTGAGATTGTGCCACTGCACTCCAGTCTAGGTGACAGAGTGAGACCCTGTCTCAAAAATAAATAAATAAATAAATAAATAAGAAACTGGAGAGGGGAAACATTTTGATCACTGTCCTTTGGTTTCTTTGCTAGGCTTGAGAATTAAATTACTTGTAAAGATTTTTCTCAGCCATAATTTTCAATTTTTGGTGATAAGAATGTTAAAACCTTGTGCTATAGGGAGGAAATCTTTCACATAGGAATTTTATCTTATAGTTATTTAACTTACTTATATTTAGCTATTGAGCTTGGATTGCTTATAAAGACGAGACAAAGCAGCTAGTCATCATCTTAAGTTATTTTTCTTCCTGAAAAAAAATTTGTAATACAAAGATAACATGAGCTTATTTCACCAGTAAACCAAGATAGTTGTATGTCTGCAATATATTTAATGCTGACAACTTCGAAGATATGCCAGATTTAATCAACACAAAATATTTTTTTACCAAGGATTAGCCAAGTCATGTAAACTTGAAAAGTATTCAGGTTAGTTTTTCTAACAGAATACCTGATTTATATAAGCACTTATTTTGAAGATGATTAGATAGAGCTCTTTTACATTTTAATTTGGCAATATTATAAAAAGATAGAAAAATATTACACACATTCATCATACATAGTGACATACATAAATATATAAACCTAAATAGCTCTTATCATTTTAATTAAAAAATGTTAGTTATGTGCCAAGGACAATACTACATAACCCACTAATTTCTTAAAAAACTTCTAGATCCAAATTGTTTTACTGGCCAATGGAACAAGAGTTTCTGCCCAGATGGCTACATCGTTTGAATAATATTTGTCAAGAAACTTAAGATTTTCTTCATTTGCCTTCTGTAGGGAAGCTTTTGATGTGGTAATCTTTTATTCTTTAATCTTTTAGATGGCTCTGTGTAACAATTAAATAATGCATCCTATTACTTTCTTGGTGTTTCTGATTCTATCTTTTCTAAGGCACCTCACCTCACAAGCCAACACATTTAAGTTAAAACTTCCCCGCACTAGTTACCATAATTCTGTGTTTTCATTAGTAAGGTTAACCCATTTCTCCAAAAATATACTAATTCTGGGCTCATAATTTTTGTACATAAAGTTAGCCAGTATCCCAGAAAATGGAGTCCTAGTCTCCTGGAGTCTCAGACTCCTTGGATTTAAAAATCTCATGTTTATTAAGGTATCTGAGACCTCTTTCTGGATTCGATCCAGTTATTTATGGGATCCAATTCAATCCGAGATCCCAGTTCAGTAAAAATTGCTCAAATAAATTTGAAGAACAAAAAGCAAATCTGTGGAGCTCAAATCTGAGGGAGAACTCACCCTTGACCCCAGTTACTGCAAGATAACAAGGAGCATAATGGGCCTGACAGGTACCTTTGCTTGATCTCTCGGTGCTCCTGGGAGTCACTAGTGGACTACTTTGGACCCCACTTTTGACACAAAACTGTTAAAAGAAAACACTAGACAAATTAAATTTAGCAGAGTTTATCCGAGGAAAGAACAAGTCATGAGTTGCTAAAAACGTCAGAACTAGAAGGAGTTCAGAGAGCTCCCCACAGCAACGTGAACAGGCAGTGTTTGCAGACAGAAAAAAAGGAAGAAATATGCAGAAACAGCTTGATTGGTTACAGCTCATCATTGGCTTTATTTGAACATGGTATGGTCAGTTGGCAGCCTGCCATTGGCTAAAACTTGGCTATTATCATTGGCTGAAATTCTGCTACTTATTAAAAGAGTATACTCTTAATTTAGATTGCAGTTCCTTTACATACTAAATTAAGTTGCAGTTTGCTATGTGTGGGGGCAGCTTTAAGCCAAATAAAATTTAACACTTTAAAACAACATGAAAATTGCAAAGATACCCCATTTGTTATTAGAGGGTCTTGCTTTGGATTATGGACGCAGCCATGGAAATGTGCAAGAAATTAATTTTTTTTAAACCCTAGAAATTAAGTCACACAAACTTACATATACAAAATGTACAACCTATGGAAAAAGAGATGATGAGGTGGCTCCATATGTCTATGGATTGGTTTTAATTTAAAATATATTTATACTCTAGCTTGCTCCAGAAGCATTGTAAGAGGGTCTTGTTAATTACAGCATCCTTATGGAAATAATCACTACTCCATAACTCAAAA
The DNA here is from genome assembly GCF_000001405.40 of Homo sapiens. NCBI lineage: Eukaryota > Metazoa > Chordata > Mammalia > Primates > Hominidae > Homo > Homo sapiens. Next base: position 120,921 of record NW_018654720.1, on the reverse strand, counting down.
TCTAGTGTGGGGTTTTTCCAGGATTGAGAAATAGAGATAAGTCAAGAAGACCCTGTGAAGGTCATAGAAAAATAGAATCTCAAAATAGAATAAGTTGGAAAATTGAATCTACAAGAAACTGATATGATGCAATGTAACTTTAGTATCAGATCATTGGTACCAAATGAAAGTTACTTACATTTATCATTCAACGAATGTCCATTGCGTATGTTTGTTATGTTTCAAGTATTGCTGTGGACAATGAGAATAAAGAGGTGAATAAGACTTACATGGACTAAATATTTTTGTCTTCTAAAATTTATATGTGGAAGTCTTAATCCTCAATGTGATGGTATTTGGAGGTGTGCTCTTTAGGAAGTTATCAGGCAATGATGGTGAAATTAGTAAGAATGAAATTAGTGTGCTCATAGGAAGAGGCAGAATAGAAAGGATCTCTCTTTCTACCATGTGAGGACACAGCAAGAGGCTGGCCACCTGCAAACCAAGAGGAGGGATCTCACCAAGCAAATAAGCTAGCACCTTGATCTTTTCAGCATCCAGAACTGTGAGAAATTAACATTTATTGTTATGCCACCCTGTCTATGGCATTTTGTTATAGTAGCCTACATGGAATCAGACAAAGACAGACAAAATCTCTATTCTCATAAAACCTTCAAGAGGTATTTATAGTCTATAGGTAAAAATCAGATAATGACAAATATTCTGAAGAAAATGAAATTGGGTAATGGGATAGAGACTGATTAGCATAGGTGACCTAATTGTCACTAGGGGAAAGTATCTCTGATGCTTTGATCTGAGCAGAGAATGACCCACATAGTCCAGAAGAAAAGGGGTCTATGCAGAGGATACAAGACGTACAAAGACACAGAAATGAGGGCAAGCCTGGAGAAGTACAGAAACACAGAGAAATTCAATTTACAGCATTTGGATTGCAGAGTGTAATTGGAAGTGTAGTCCCAGCTAATATCACAGAATTGGACTCAAGAAAAGATGATATAGAGCCTGGGAGTCCATAGAAGAGTGGTATACTTTAAAGAATGCAATGATAACTTAAAGAGTGATGCAACAAGACCTGTTGTATGTTTACAAAGATCACTCAGACCCCCTTGTGGGGAATAAGTCTTATGGGCATACAATAGATGCAGGAAGCAGTTTAAAGTAAAGGTGTGATGGGATTTGATTTCAGGCAGTCACATAAAGATACAGAAAATTGGAACTTGCTCTAGAAATTTTCTTTCTCTGTGTCCACATAACCATACACTGATTTCAAACTTCTACTATGGGTCTATCCCCTTTTAACTTCGGTTTTGACAGGCAAACATCTTTGTTAGCATATGCTATGCAGTCCAATATGTGTATAGAATATGTAAATATTCTTGAATATAAGTTTTATATAAAAATGGCTAGCATGCTGATGCATTTTCAGATTGATATACTGTTTTTTTTAAATAATTGGTGTTAAGGAACCATTAAACATAAACAATTATGATTGTGGTTGCTATTTTTAAATGTGGAGAATAAAAAAATAGCTATTACATATATTAGTGAATAAATATGATATTATACATTATTTTTATTCACCATGAGGTTTAAAACTATTTTATTCAATGCCTAAAGAGGTATTTATTTCCTTGACTTACCATATGGTACCACCATGACTTTGTCCCTGTGCAATCATTTTGCTCTGTATCTGTGAACCGATCAATCTATTACAGTGATTCTCAGTAGGGGTGGCCTGGAATAGAAAGAGCAGCAGCAGTTCTTGGGAAACAGCATTAGGTCTCAGATTCACTTTTGGAAACAACTTGACAAGTGCATGTTTCTATCCCAAATTGATCTGTCAATTTAGATCACTGATGCCAAAAGCCAGAAAAGCAAAGTTATCAGGAAATCTCAAGTAAATTAGAACCATATCCTCCAGCCATAAATTCTCTTATCCCTCAGCAGACAAAGCTAATGTTCCAGGAGTGTAGCTATTGAGTTGGTAAAGGAAACGTCACTTCCTGAATTCCATTGGGAAATATGGCAAGCTGAATCTACAAAACACACAATTTAGAGCTTACTTTTAAAGACACTGTTCATGGAAGTAACTTTGGCTGCCATTTATAAAAACAATAATCTCACTAACAGTTAATGAGTGTTCTTTTTTTTTTTTTTTTTTTTTTTTTTTTTTGAGACGGAGTCTCGCTCTGTCGCCCAGGCTGGAGTGCAGCTGCGGGATCTCGGCTCACTGCAAGCTCCGCCTCCCGGGTTCACGCCATTCTCCTGCCTCAGCCTCCCAAGTAGCTGGGACTACAGGCGACCGCCACTACGCCCGGCTAATTTTTTTTTTTTTTTTTTAGTAGAGACGGGGTTTCACCGTTTTAGCCGGGATGGTCTCGATCTCCTGACCTCGTGATCCGCCCGCCTCGGCCTCCCAAAGTGCTGGGATTACAGGCGTGAGCCACCGCGCCCGGCCATGAGTGTTCTTTATACCTTTGTTTTTCTTTTTGGGTAACTATTTAAAGCTTTCATATAACTGACTCCAATAAGAATGGATATTGAAGTATCAATTACGTGATGATAATATAACCCAATAAACAAAAACAATTATTAAAATTTCTGCTGCCTCCATTTTTAAAAACATTTGGGTTCTGGCATACTTTTGTGACATTCCTATATTTTCCTCCTCTTCATGGAAAATTACTATACTTATTTTAAATGATAATGTATTTTAAAGATATATATTCTCTACGTCCAAAACCTGTGATAAAAATATTTTATAAGAAGTTCAATGTAATACCCTCTGCCTTTGGGTGGAGTAGATTAGAATGTTAGTAGGGTTGCTTCATAGGTAATTTGGCGGGATGCTATTTGGTTAGAGAAAAACCTATACTGATTTGAAAAGAATGGATTAGTGGATATGCAAACGAGATGGGTATTCTTTCCTTTGTCTTTCTTATCTCCACACCAGCCATAAAGTAATGATGATTCTAGGGCTATACTCTTTGAATTTAGAAAGTCAGTTAGTGTCTGTCTTTGATAGAAACGTTAGGAGGTAGCATAAGATATTTTTCTTTTCTGAGAAGATCAAATCTCTAAAAAGGCACCTGGAATATCAACTCCTAAGCTGTCCAGCAGCTCCAAAATTAAAGGACTAAACATGGTGCAAAAGATAATATCTGAAATGATTCTATCTTGGTAGACAAAGAAAATGGCAGAGATCACATTAGCAGGGCTTACTTTCCAACAGCTGCAAAGAGAGAACAAAGTCATGTAGGAAAAAAAAAACAAAACAACAAAAACCAGCAACAAAAAAACAACTCCAGTATGGATCAGCTTCTCTGGAGGAAGGGTACTAATAGCAAGGGAAATGGTTAGAACTTGAAAAGCATTGGCAGAGACAACCAACTTAAGACAGTGTTGAGATTGGAAATAGCTGTAATCTATGTAAGCTTTTATTTTGTTTATTGGTTGTGTTTGTTTGTTTGTTTGTTTTGAGAGGGAGTCTCCCTCTGTCACCCAGCCCGCAGCACAGTGGAGCAATCTCAGCTCACTGCAAGCTCCGCCTCTCGGTTTCCAGCCATTCTCCCGCCTCAGCCTCCCGAGTAGCTGGGACTACAGGCGACCGCCACCACGCCCGGCTAATTTTTTTTTTTTTTTTTTTTTTTTTTTTTTTGTATTTGTAGTAGAGACAGGGTTTCACTGTGTTAGCCAGGATGGTCTTGATCTCTTGACCTCATGATCCGCCCATCTCGGCCTCCCAGAGTGCTAGGATTACAGGTGTGAGCCACCTCGCCTGGCTGTAAGCTTTGGTTTTAACAGGCAAAAGCCCTTGTTAGGATATGCCATGCAGTCCAATATGCATATATTCCAATATGTGCATATTGGACTGCATGGTATATGCTAACAAGGGCTTTTGCTCGTCAAAATCAAAGTTAAAAGGGAAAGACCCACAGAAGCAGTTTGAAGCTATTTTTCCTTGAAAGGCAAATGGAAGCAAACAGGTATATACTACCATGTGTTACTTTCAGTTTCTGCATGTTCTGAGTTAGATGTCTATCCTCTATGTTTGATTAGCACTGTGCTAATATACTTATCACTGTCTATCATAGTTGTTGGTTTACCTCCCTCTCCAATCAGATTAGAAACAAACTGATAGCAAGGTGAAGTCTATTATTTCTTTATCCCCAGTGCCTAGCAAAGATCTGAAATCTGTTATCAACTATCTGTCAAATAAATGAGCCAGGTTTAACACTATTATCCTGAGAGAGACAAAGTAATCAACTAAACATCCTAAACCAAAATAATATGTGTCACTCTTGAGTAAAACCTGAGGTAATATGGAAGTTCATGGAGTTGATATTAATTCCAATTAAATGCAAAAAAGTTTGGCACTTTAATTAGCTACAGATCAATGAAGCCTTAAAGGTAAATGTAAGTGATGATTGTGTATGAGGTATTTTTAAATATTGAAACTCTTTCATAAGTGCTTCTAGATAACTTTACTGATTTCTAATTGGAAGCCATTGACCTAGAACTCAAGAAATCATTGAGGACCAAGGTCTGGAGTGTTTCTGACTCTGGACTAAAGCTGAGCTTATGAGTGAATATCAGATGATACCAATCACAGGATATAAAAACTGTCAACAATGAAAAACAAGGCAAGGGCTTACATCTCATATCACAGTTTTTTTATAGTGAAATAATGTGTTATGCACACTTTTGTTTACTTCATTTCTAGACATTATTGTCTGAAACAAAAATTTGCTGAACATTGCACCTGCAAGCCAGTGACTGCCCCAAGGTGAATCCACTTATTTTAAATGGCTTTATTTATAATTAAAGTAGTGATTAACACCACAACTTGATTATGGAATATCCGTTGAAAAAAACTACTATATGTATCTTAAGCGTATTTATCTGTGTGTAAAAAGACCACGATTCAAAAAGCATGTTCTGAAATTGATAGGTCATGGTGATCAATTGGCCAGGTAGATAAATTGGAGAGCAAAAGTGGTTTCAAGAAACAGGTAAATGAAACAGTTCAGCCTAAATTTGCAGCCCTTATCTTTGAGAGAATAATGGAAACATAATCTGTATAATTATTAAGAGGCAAAAATGAAAGGCAATTGAGTGAGGGAATTATAATTTCTATTTTTAAAGCATAGAAATGGTATTCCAAAGCTTTTACCTAAGGGGTTGTTTTTGTTTACAGAATAATAATTAAAACTCTTTCTATCTTCTTTTTGGATAATTGTAGAATAGAGAACTGAGAACTCTAGGAAGCATATGGTACAGTGAAGAAGAAAAAAATTACCTTCTTTTCATTTGTGCCAAGCTAGATCTTTGATGCTCTTGCTTCATCCACTTCCTCTTTAATGACTAGGCCTGCCTTTGAATCTTCTGTCCCCTGATGAATAGAAAATACAGAATCTTTTATTAAAATCATGTTGAGAAATGTAGATTGATCTGCTTGTTTAGTTTGATTAAATATGAAGATGAAAAGAATTTCATGTGTCCCAAAAGCTGATGCTAAGAATATTAAGAATTTTGGAAATTGCTAAACATATTGTAGCTTGGACAACATGATTGACAATATAAGAATCATATTGAAAGATAACTGTGTCAAAAGTTGTGACTTTTTATATTCATATTTTCCTTAATAGAAAATAATTCCTTAGACTAACAAATACTGATAAGATTATGGCTTTGAAGGTATTACTTATGAGAACTCAAAAAATAGAATTATCTTTGTTTTATTTTAGAGATTTTTTTTCAGAAGGGTAGTATCCAACTTTAACACAATGTAATTCTTTAATTATATAATTCTTGCAAATACCATTAAGTGCTATCTACCTTCAGAGAAAAATAATGGAAAAGCTCTTAATATTGTATAATATTGGTGGATATGAAATGTGAGTTCTTCTAAAAATTATATGCAAAGAATATCATCCATTTTTGTTAAGCCATATTTTTTCAATTGTAGACAGGATCTAAGGAAAATCTATTAATGCAGGGTTCTTATGCATACTGATACTAATGTTATTGTTGGAGAAATGTGTCATATTTGAATGCGATATTTAGATCAAAAAAGTCCATACAAATGAAAAATTGAGAATCATTTTTGAAACTAAGACATAAAGTTATTAGAGAAGTAAGTAGCGAATGTATAGGTCCTTTTTGAGTTTATTTTGTACTTACATGGCTTCTTATTAGTTACTTAAGTAAATCTAAATTGAGAGTAATCAATCTATTATTTAAGAACATTATATACACTGTTAGAATTTGGAATTTGGGGATTATGTTGAATCCAGATATTTACTCTTCAAAATGCTACTGTCCTCAGAGTTTGGAGGATTGTAATTATATCAAAGCAAAAATTGGACTGTGCAAAGTTAAACAGGGCAAAAATTAAAAAAAAATAAAAAACTCTACTGCAATAGAGAAAAGAGATCAGAAAGCAGTATCAACCCAGCCCTGCTGAGTTTTTCCAAAGGAGATCTCCCAGGTTCTTGGTAAAGACATTCCTGCTTTGTACACCTGGCAAGAAGCTTTTTAAAAAAATTACATCTTAAAGGGACAAAGAAAGGATTTACACGTTTTGTTGTTGTTGTTGTTGAGACAGTCTCATTCTGTCACCCAGGCTAGGGTGCAGTGGTGCCATCTCAGCTCACTGCAACCTTCATCATGTGGGTTCAAGCGATTCTCCTGACTCAGCCGCCTGAGTAGCTGGGATTACAGGCGCATGCCACCATACCCTGATAACTGTTTTGTATTATAGTAAAGATGGGGTTTTGCCATGTTGCCCAGGCTGGTCTTGAACTCCTGATCTCAAGTGATCTGCCCGCCTCGGCCTCCCAAAGTGCTGGGATCACAGGCATAAGCCACTGCGCCCAGCTTGAATTTACAGGTTTTCTAAAGTAAAGGCTCTAAGAGAGGAAAGAGACCTCTGTGATTAGGCCATCTGGATTCTATAAGGGTTGGGATGACAGGGAGGTCAGAGACCTAGAGGCAGGAAGAAGCTTATCTAAAGTTTAGTCAAGCTTAGGAAAACATTAAGGCTGTCTTGATCAATTATGAGATTTGTAAAAAATCCAAAATGGACTTCATCATTGATCTGATCTTAGGTAGTTTACTATTTTTGAAAGTATCAATTAAGACCATAATACTTTATTAACTTGAATAATATGATTCTTACTATTTTTATATCCCATATAGATATTATTTTAAAATATTTTCTAGTGATTTGGATGAATTGCAAATGTTCATTAATTCTTCATTTTCAGGAAAACAAGGATCAAAGTTCTTAGCATTGCTTTTTTAAAAAATTAGACATAATCTATTTTTGCCACCTTGAATCCTACATATTACCTACATAAGTTATTGCAGGACTGGGAGAATTAAATTATTTGCTGTATTTATAGTACTCATAATCGAATATAGTATATGCTATATAAGTGTCAGCAAATCTTTTTTTTATTCTTGTTCATGCTGTTTTTTTTCCTTTCTCCTTCTTCATTAGAGTGTTATTGTATTTTTGTACCTGACAAACTTGTATTCATTCTTCAAAATGCATAGTGTAGAACACATGGACACAGGGAGGAGAACATCACACACAAGGCCTGTCGGGGGGTCGAGGGAAAGGGGAGGGAGAGCATTAGGACAAATACCTAATGCATGCAGGGCTTAAAACCTAAATGACAGGTTGATAGGTGCAATGAACCACCATGGCACATGTATACCTATGTAACAAGCCTGCACGTTCAGCACATGTAACCCAGGACTTGAAGTAAAATTTAAAAAAAAGAAAAAGCAGAGTGTAAGGAAATAGTCTTTGGCATTTGATGCATGCGAAATGTCACTGTAAAGATAATTAATCTATATGAGCCTCTCTTTCTTCACTTCTAAAATGAAGATAATAGTAACTATTTCATTAAGTTGCAAAGATTAAGCGAGCTAAAAAAAAAAAAAGAAAAAAAAGGGTCCAACATAGGTTCTGTTTAATGGTTTCTTCTTTCCCTCTTTTTTTCTATAACTGTAAAGATTTTTTAGATTTTACATTACTATTTAACCCTCCTACTAAATACCCAAAATTCAATTTGTAATTCTCTTTACATTCAGCACCATGGAAAAGTACCTGGCATATGGCAGTTATTTGGCAAATGTTTATTAAAAAGGAAGAAAAAGAAACTGAGGTGAAGTGATCGTCTTGTTTATTCTTCAGTTTGTGCTTTGACCATATATTTTAGGAGTGTGCTGCCAGAGGCTGAGTATGAATATGGGATATGCCGATATGAAACTGAAAATATGGTCTTCAACTGTGAATACCTCATACCTTTCACATAATATATCTTCAATAAAGGTTTCTGAAAGGGATGTGGTAAAGGAGAAAGAGGGACGAAGGAATTGTGGGAAGAAGAGTGTGTGAGAGAGAGGGTGAGAGAGCAAGAGTGGAGAAATAAAAGGAAAAGAGCAAAAAAGCTCAAAGAGGATTGAAAGAAATAAGAGTGACAGACAGAAAAGTGAAAGGAATACAGGAAAACAAAAAAAATCAGTAGGTTTCCACTGAAATACCGTCTATCCTATTATACTTTACATTCTGCAAAGACTTCTGCCCCCAAAACCTAATACCACCTTCTCAGCCCAGCCTGTCTTAGCTTACTTATAGTTGTCATTAATTACATGTGTATAGATATTTCTGACAAACTTTGGTTCAAAAATGTCTCAAGGTATTTTAAAGTGTTTTATAATCCAAGCACAATTTTATGAATCTCTTAACCACACTGTGCTTTTCCACTTCCTTTTACATTCTCTGTCCTTATTATTTCAAAAAGGATAACAGGTATTGAAAATATAAGTGTTTCATAAAAATTGTTGTAATTATAATGGTTGATGCCAGTGTGTTGAGTCTACTGGAATTTACATTAATTAATTCAGATCCCATCTCTCAATACTGCCACATTGGGGATTAAGTTTCAACATGAGTTTCACAGGGGTCAAACATTCATTCCATAGCACATTGGCTTCCTGTTTATGTTTGAGATGAAATATACCTTCTGTACTACCCCCACAGACCTGCCCACATAATCTAAATGGAAGAAAGCCATAATTGCTTAATTTTTTTTTTTTTTTGGTGGAAGCATGCTGAATAGAACACATGTAAGAAAATGGACTAACTTTAAAAATATTGATACACAAATGTCAGAAACTGAAATAACTAAAAACACGAAGTTCACAAAGTACCATTGTAGGGAGTTTCAAATTAATTTAGGTCAAAGTAAATAATTTCCTGATTCTTATGGAAGTCTGAATTAAAATTCTGGAAATATAGAGTCAAGAAAGAAAATGTACTTAATATGCCATATTTATTATAAATTAGGTAAAGTACACATTTATCAATCTGCATTAAAGGCTTCTAGTAGTTGAAGGGTTTAAGAACCAGTTTTATAGGAAATTTCAAACATTAGAAATATTTAAGTTATATATACTAATAGCTATAATATTTAAAAATCTGTTAGCATTATGAATATCTAATTTCTGGTTACAATAAAAATATTGCTTTTATAGGATTAAAATACATGTAGATACTAAACTAATGTTGAAAATTATATATGTTTTACAACTGATTATAAGAAAAATTATTTGTTACTCTTCAAACTCCATATTCAAATATTTCACTTTAATAAAGCAATTTTTCAAGGGGGAATTTTAAATGTGACAAAATCACTGAAAAAATAAATAATTTAAAACTAACTATAATTTTCAAGAATCAAACTTAGAAAAAGGTATAATTTTTCAATGCATATATGAATATGAATATTGGTTAAATTTAAAATAGTTTAATCATACTTCATTTCTACTATCTCAAGATTTCATAATGTTACATTTCTGTTTCATTAAAAATGTTTCATGAGTTATAAAACTGCTGAGTTTTCTAACTTTCTGCTCTGAGCATTAATATTTTTGCTCCAGTAAATATCTAGAATCCAAATTTTTACATTTTTATTTTTATATACATGTAGAATAGAGTTACTGTACTGATAATATGTACAAGGATCAACATTTTTCTCTGTGCCATTATGCAATTTTTTTCAATTATTTTATATTGTATGTGATTCTTAACATATAACTTACTTTACAAATGTAACAACTATTTTTAAAAAGTCTGTGCTCTGAATTATCATTGTTTTCTTTGAAAAACTGTGTATCTGTATGTTTTTGGGTTTTCAATAATGTTTTTACTTAAAAGTTTTCACATATGGCATTTATTTATTTTGTTGACACTTTACATATGTTGACATATCTTGCAATTCCAAAGCAAATGGTAGAAACATTTACACATCTTTCCTGTAGGGACCCACCATCATCCTGGGTCTTAAATGTTTATACAAATAAAATCATAAGGAAAATGATCAGCCTAAGGTTAAAGTAACTCAGAATATAGAAAATAAGATACTTTGAACAGAAAATAGCAGAAATTACAGCCAAAATAGTCCACAGGAAACTCCTATCTATTTGAAAGTTGTATGCTGTTTCCAATGGTTTTGATGCTACTCTAGTCATTGAAATATATTTGCTTAATTTTATAATATGTCTATCAATGTTTTTCCTCCTCTTACATGATCTAAGATCTTTGAACATTTTAACATCATTTATCTCTATAAGCTTCTTTGCAGCAGTTATTTTTATCTTAATTCTACTTTGCTTTTATTCTTTCTCTTGAACTCTTGAACTCCAAAATATACAACGAGAATTATTTTATATCATCAATATTTATTTAAATTCACTCACATACTATAACCTTTTGTTGTTCTTTTCCATTTTTTTCTTATATCTCAACAATTTCATCAAGAAAAATTTTTCTTGTGATCAAATATCCCATCTTCAAAGTTTTTTAGAATGAGAGGTCTCCTTGTGGAAGAATTTCTCAATTTTTGGTTACCTGAACACTTTATCTGACTCTGTTTCTTGTAATATATTTTTGTGAAGAAGTTTGCTACCATCTGTTGGCTCTTTGAAGTAAATTTATCTTTATCTTTCTGCTTCTAATTTCTTTATCATTGTTTACTCTAGAAGTTAGCTATAAGGCATATATATATATATATATTTCTTTTTTTTTTTTTTTGAGACGAAGTTTCGCTCTCGTTGCCCAGGCTGGAGTGCAATGGCGCGATCTCCGCTCACTGCAACCTCTGCCTCCCGGGTTCAAGTGATTCTCGTGCCTCAGCCTCCTGAGTAGCTGGGATTACAGGCCTGCACCACCACGCCCAGCTAATTTTGTATTGGTAGTAGAGACGGGGTTTCACCACGTTGGTCAGTCTGGTCTCAAACTCCTGACCTCAGGTGATCCGCCCGCCTCAACCTCCCAAAGTGCTGGGATTACAAGCGTGAGCCACCACGCCCGGCTATGTATATTTCTTGAAATATCCTTGAAAGAAGGAAAATACATACAGACGAGCTCCACATTCAATCTGGCATTTTGTCTGGTAACATATTGTCTGGTGCACATTGATATGGAGAAAAAAATTAGTTTGGAGCTACCAAAACACCTAGAATTTGATCAGAGAGAGAGAAGATACATAATTCTGCAAAAGAAGGATTCCAAAATTCTTCCTGGAAATGTTTGAGAGTACTTACCTAATAACTGAGCTTCATATGTTCATGCTGAGCACTTTGCTTGTTACCTTGTAGACAATAGCTCCTGTTCAGCTCAGATCCGACTGGAAACTATAAGAGGTCATACAGTACTGGAGCCATTAGAGTTCTAGCCTACCCTTGGAAATTTACGTAAGAACCCAGAAAGTTTTATAGGGATAAGGACACCACCTTTGAATCAGAATATAACCGTTGAATTAAGAAGTTAACAAAAATAAAGACATCATAACTAAAGCTAAACAAAATACAGAAGATCTGTTAGGGTTTTATTATCAGAACAAACCAGTACCATATAAAGAAAGAAATTATCTCTCCTTTTAAGATAACATTGACCATGTGCAGAATTTCAAAAAATGTACTAGCTATGTAAAAACACACACACACACACACACACACACACACACACACACACAGGAAAATGTGACATATACTTAGCAGCAAAAGCAGTCAGTAAAAATGGATTACCAGATGAGATCGATTTTGAGTTAACAAAAAGGATTTAATACAGTTGTTAAAATATATTTAAGGAAAGTAAATAAAAATTTGGACATATGAAAGAATAATTTTGAAATTGCAAAAGAATGAAATCTATAAAAAGAAAATGGAAATACTAGAAAAGTACAATAAATGAAAGAAAATTCACTGAATGGGTTAAACAGCTTATTAGACAGTAAAGAAAAAAGAATAAGTGAAATCAATGACAGGTCAATAGACATGATCTAAAGTGAAGCTTCCAAAATAATAAAATAATTAAATGAAGATCTAGTAATATATAGGAAAATATCAAGTAATATAGCAATGAGTGTGGTTCTAGGAGAAGAGAGAAAAATATTAAAAGTAACAATGGCTTAAAACTTGTCAAACTGGTGAAAAATATCAACCTATACATCTAGAAATTCAGTGAAACACACAAAGATAAAAATATTTTAAAGAAAATATTTGCAAATTGCGTCCAATAATAAGTATAAATTATAATCCATTACTATGTGGAACGTTATCTATTGAATGCAGGATTGGTTTAACTTTTGAAGAGCAATTAATCCAAAATGAGACTCTAATAAAAGAGAAATATTATGGGTACATCATTAAACAATCTTTAATATCTAGTCATGTTAATAGCTCAGAGTAAAATGAGAATAAATGAAAATTTCCTCTATCTGATGAAGTATTTTTCTGAAAAACCTAGAACTAACATCATATGTAATGGCAGAATATTGATGCTTTCTTACTAAGATTTGAACTAAGGCAAGAATGTGAGTTCTCATTGCTTTATTTAACATTATATTAGAGGTCTTGCCAGTGCTATCCAGCAAAATCGTGACTGAAAAGAAACTAAGCCTCTCTTTACTCATACATGAAATGATTGGATTCGTGAAAAATCCTGAGAAATATATTTTATAAATGTAATAACTTTTTTTTCAAATTCACTGGATACATGGTCAATATATAAAAGAACAATTGTATGTAACAGCAACAAACAAGTGAAAATTTTAATTGAAGCACAATACCATTTGCTGTGGCATAAAAACAATAAAATCATAGCAATGAATTTAGTGGACAACATGCAATATATCTGCACTAAACATTAAAACCATTTCTGGGAGAAATGGTAAAGAAGGTCTATGGCAAGACAAATAGTTTTCATGGATTGGAAGATTATATATTGTTAGAATGTTTGTTATCCAATTATTCTATAGATTCAAAGAAACCCCAATAAAAAATCCCAACAACCAATTTGTTACAAATGGACTAACCAATTATTCTGGAAATTCAAAGGACCTAGAATAGTCAAAACAACACTAAAAGCAACCATAAATTTGGAGGACATACATTGCCTGATTTCTTATAATAAGAATTATATATTTATGTATTTAATATATAACTACATAAAATATAAATTTTAAATTTAATATAAAAGTATGATAAAACGTAAATATTTTATATTATGTAAATATGAAATGTTTTATATATGTAAATATAATTTTAAAATATAAAAATAAAATATTATAAGGCTTATAATATAGCTTCATTAATCAAGATGGTGTTATTGACATAATAATAAACAAGTAGAACAATGGATCAGAGTAGGAAGTCTACACTTAGTAGTCTATAGTAGATGCACAGTCTAAGTGGCTTTCAACAAAGTTGCTGTGATCGTTTAATGGCAAAATCTCACATCATATAAAAAATATTTTCGCATGGGTCATGCATACATGCAGAGTGCTTAAAATAATAGTTTCTAGAAGAAAAAATAGGGGAAATAACTTCACACCCTTGAAAGCATAAGCCACAGCCTAAAAGAAAAGTATTTGCTAAAAATCTGTATTAGTCTACTAGGGCTTTCATAATAAAATATCACAGGGTGGGTATTTCAAACAACAGAAATTTATTTTCTTGTAGTTCTGGAGGTTAGAAGTCAAACTTCAAAGTGCCACCACAATTGGTTTCTGGTTAAGCCTCTCTTCCTGGCTTGTAGACGGCTGCCTTCTCACCATGTCCTCACATGGCCTCTCCTCTGTGCCTGTTCAGAAAGAGAAAGAAATCTCTGGTGTGTCTTCTTTTTATGAGGAAACAAGTTTTATTAGATTAAGACTTTCATGACCTGATTTAACGTTTATTACGTCCTTATACACCTTTCTAAATACAGTCACATTGGGGATTTTAGGTCTCAACATATGGATATTGGGGGACACAGTTCAGCCCGTAACACCATCTCTCTGACAAATTGTATGCAAAATACATAAAAAAGTCAAACCTGGTGAAAAATGAGCAAAATCTACACAAATGTCCCGTAAGAACATAAAAAGGTGCTTATTTGATCAGTCATCAAGGAAACAAATATTGAAACTACAATGAGCTATGACTATGGCCTTTTATCTACTAGAAGGCCTAAAATTGAAACAACTGATGACAACTAAAGTTGTGGAGGAAGTGCAGCAACATAAACTCTTAATATACTGGTAGTGTATAAGATTTTCAACCATTTTGGAAAAGTATCTGGTAGTTTCCTACAAAGCACCATAATGCAGCTAGGTATTTACTAAAGAGTGAAAATACATGTTTACAAAACTACTTGTACAAGGATATTTAGAAAGCTTTATAGGTAAGAGTCAAAGACTAGAAACTACCAAGTGTTCATTAATAGAATAATTGATTTAAAAATTATAGTATATTCATAAAATGCAATGCAATAATACATTCAGTAATAAAATCAACAATGATCAAGACTCTATCTCAAAAAAAAACAAAAGCCAGACCAAAAAAAAACAAAAGCCAGATCAAAAAAAAAAAAAAAAAAAACAAATACATACTATTTGTGCCATTGTGATGAAGTTACAGAACAAGCTAGATTTATTTATGGGAATAGAAATATAAATATAGAGGGCTTGAGTAGAGAAGAGCTTGACAGGAAGGGGTCATGAGGAAATTCTCTGGGGATGGAAATGTTCTATATTCTGATTTGGTTATTACTTGTACTGTGCATTCATGTGTCAAAATTCATCTTAATATACACTTAAGAGCTTTGCATTTCATTATACATAAATATTAACATTAATTTATAAACATTGTATAAAATATTCATTGGCAAGTTTTAGAAGATGATTTATGTATTTGAGTTTTTAGCTCTTTGATATGGCATTAGTGATACACATTTTCCAAAAATAACAATGTTACATTTATTTAGAGATTAATATTTACATTATGTACTTCACTAAGCATTTTACATTCATTGTATTAATAATTATGACAATATATATGCTTGTTCTATAGTATATGATTTCATAGACCAGAATGCCACCTTCAATTAGGAAGAAATTCTTAAAATATTTTGTTAATTTACACTATATCTCCAATATCTACAACAGACCCAGGGCATGAAATACACATAAAAAACACACACATTAAATATTAATATATGCTTATTATTGTATTATGAATGAGGAAATAAAATATAACTTGGAATTTTTTTAAAACTTAAAAAAATACAATGGACTGAGCACTGAAATCAGAATATGCAGCTTATTTAGAACAAAATTCTACTTTTTCCCCTAAACTGTCCCTTAACATTGTCATCTCTCCTGCTAATCCTGCATTACCCTGGATCCTTCCTTTTTGTCTCTGCCTCCACTCACTGCTGCCTCTGCCATAAGCCTTCATACTCCAGCTGCTACACACTGCTGCTTCTATCCCTGAGGATTCCACGAGCATCCTTATTCTTCTGTCACTGATATGGTTCCTATTGGCATATCAAAAGTTATAGCCATATGAAGAAAAATCTAGGGATGCAGCAGCAGCAGCAGCAGTAGCAGTAGCAGCAACAGTCTATCAAGATGTTTTAATCTGGAATAAATTTCAGAATAGATCAATTCAGCATTATCATTAAGGTAACCATTATGAGTAACGCTATTAAATCCTTTAATAGTGTGTTATTTTCACATAGATGGCATTTGTTCTTTGAAAGTCCCAGTGATGTTAAAATGAACAAATTCTGGCACAGATTTGAGCATTTGCTCCACACAGCTATCTGAGTCTAGCGTGAGCCATATGTGATGCCCAAGCTTGCAAAAATGCAACAGTTTTAGTGACATACTCTTTAGTAGACCCTTGGTGCCTTGGGAAGAGGAATTTTCAACCGGTAAATGAAGATGTATTGGCATTTTGAGCATTACAGGGAAAAAAAGAGATGGAATTAAAGTTAACAGAGACATGCTCTCAAATCAACAACTGTCAGAAAAGCATCATTCTATAGTGAACCATCATTCCTAGTTAAAGTGTAAATTTTACCCACAAGAGTGTCACAATTTATAAAAATAAAAGTTTATGAACAACTACTCAAACTGACTTAAAAATACCCCAGTAAAATGAGAAGATCTGATGGAATAGGAAGCAATTTCTATGCATGCGAACAATGAAAATGCGAGAAAAACATATCATAAGGTTTATTAAAATAATTTTTATTATGAATTCATCTAAAAAGCAATGTTTTATAACTGTAGAGGTTACTAAAAAATGCAAATGTAATGTCAGAAAGTCAAACAGATTAGTCAAAAAAATTAGATTGTGGAAAAAATATTCTTTTTGGGTTTTGCAATAGTGCTAATATCCCAGGGGAAAAACAAATGACTGAATGGCCTTCAGACTCTACTGATAAAATGAAGTGATTTCGGTTTTAGGACTTTGTAATGGGTTATGTATATGTACATCTACTTAGACTGTGTATTCAAGTTAAATACTCCTGGTTGTTTTTGTATGTTTCATAGTGACAACATTTTTGAGACTGCATATTTAAATATATTACTAAACTTTATTCCATTAGCCAGTGTTCTGAATATGCATGATTTAAAATGAAGTATTCCAAAAATTCTGATCTTACTTAAATGAAACTTAGGGAGCCATGCTCTGAGCTTTACAATTCCCATTTCCTGAGTTGTTTATTGTAACAATATTTTCATTGACATATTTTTTTAATTTCTGGTCAAGTATAAATTAGTGTAAATCTCTCTTAAGCTATAAATTATGCTTACTATTTACCAGATATTACAATTACCCCTACAGAGATATTCTTGCTGAAGTTAGACTATACATTTGAATTGATAGAGGCAGATGTCTTGCCTGTGTAAGAATAATTCTACTAAGAATGCATCTTTTACTTTTTTGAGTTAAAAAGATGATGATGTTTCCAGTTAAAAATGTGCTATCATCTCTCTATATATCTACGTATCTATCTGTCTGTCTATCTTAGTTTGAGCTGCTATAACAACGTTTCATAGAGTAAGGTGGCTTATAAAAAACAGAAATTTATTTTCTCACAGTTCTGGAGCCTGGAAGTCTGGGATAACTGTGCCAACATGGTCAGGTTTTGATGAGTGCTCTCTGCGGACTGCCATTTTCTTGTACCTTCACATGGCAGAAAGAGGGCAAGAGAACTATGAGTTCCTTTTATAAGGGTGCTAAGTTCAATCATGAGGGCTCCACCCTGTGACCTAATTGCCTCCCAAAGATCCCATCTAATATGTCAGACTGAAGGTTAGAATTTTTGTGTGTGTTTATGTGTATAAATGTATACATATATGTATATGTGTATATGTATATATGTATACACACATACATATATACAGATAAATAAGAAGATCTTTAGAGAAAATGTCTCATCTTAGAGAATACTTATATTATCCTAAACAGAATATTGGTAGATACATGAACAAAGGTGCTTCTGGTGAGGTCTCAAGGTGAGAAATATGTTATTGGAAATTGGAGGAAAGGCAGTCTTGCCATAAAGTGGCAAAGAATTTCACTGAATTGTGTTCTAGTCTCTTGTGGAAGGTAAAATATGAGTGATGTCCTTGGATATTTGGCAGAAGAGATGTAGAAGCACAGTGTTGAAGGTGAGGCTGGATTTTTCCTTATTGCTTAGAGTAAAATGTGAGAGAAGATATACAAATTGAAGAAATTTTTAAGCAAGATGGAACCAGGATTTGAAGTTTTGGAAAATTATCAGACTAACTATGTTGCAAAAAGTGGAAAGCATGTTCTAGAGAGACAAAGTGTGTGGCTGGAAATTTGAAGTTTTGGAAAATTATCAGACTAACTATGTTGCAAAAAGTGGAAAGCATGTTCTAGAGAGACAAAGTGTGTGGCTGGAAATTTGCTCCTTAAAGAGATTACCTATGGATTTAATCAGCCATCTCTGCTGAGGACAGGAACGGAGATGGAATTACATCAGCAGAAGCACTGACAGCTGGAATAAACAAAACAGAGAGAATTGGATGTAATAAAGGAAGGCTGTCAGACTTCTGGGACTCTGCAGAACAAGACAATAGAATTAACTGGCTTCAAACATGCATTATCCTTCAAGAAATAGGAAGAACAGCCCTGAAAGTGATTCAGAGAGCAGCACAGTTGCTACTCCCATCACATACCCAACAAGGCAAAGGTGTTTTCTCTTTGGTCTCAGAGGAAGAGGGCCACCTCCTGGGTTTCAGCAGGGCAGAATGCCACTGCCCAGTACCTCAGGGGCAGGGCTGCCCAGGCCACAGGGATGGGGCTTCTGTGCAGAGTAGGGGAGGTGACGCTATTACCCCAGTGGACCCAAAAGGCAGCGCATCAGACCAAAGAGGATTATGCGTGAGCCTTAATATCTAAGGAAATTTGCCTTGTTAGGCAAACAGGGCTGGTGTCCTTTTTAGTTGGTAAAGAGACAAGAGCTCTCTCTTACAGAGAATGATCATGTGAGGATACAGCAATAAGGTGCTTTCTACAAACCAAGGAGAGAGAGAGAGGCCTCACCAGAAACCAACCTTGCTGGCACCTTAATCTTGGACTTCCAAACTCCAGAGCTGTGAGAAACTAAATTTCTGTTGTTTAAGCTACACAGTCTGTGATGTTTTGTTATAGCAGCTTCAGGCAGACTAACACACATACATAAATATGCAGACTGATACATATGTATGTTTATATATTTCTATATACATGTCTATATAGAAATATTTACATATAATATGGGAATAATATGGGAAACAGGCAGACTGGGGAAAAGATTTGCATCTAGGTAGAGTAAATACATAGTTCAAAAATGAATGCAGATTCAGATATATTTTTCTACTATATATAATTGTTTACTCTCATATATTTTGTGAGTCACCTTATGATTCAGTTAATCTGATAATCTCCTGGACCTCAAAAAATTAATTTTACTACACCATTTGAAATTTCTGTAACCTGAGAGATACATATATGATATGCATTATAATTCTCTAATATATTATCAACTCTGAGAATATTAGGTATGATCTATAGGAAGATAAATACCTATATCTGTGTGTGATAGAATCAGTGCTGTCTTTTCAGGGGATAGAACAAATAAATCTTTATATTTTAGTCTTTTCATTTTCAAGCATGTGTTATCATATTTTACAATAATTATTATGCAAAGAATTGAAAGCTTGTATCCAAAGACTTTAATCAAGAAAGAGTTTATTTCATATTTTATAGAGTGATTCAATGTCTCCTTTAAAAAATACCTTGTTTACTTACTGATAGCCTAATAAAATCACTATAATCCAATAAGAAAGACTGGCCTATAGAAGACAAAACAGATCACGAAGAACAATTATAAAAACTTTAAAAATGGTTTTAATTATTATAAAATATTAAAGAACTACTTCAGCAACCAGCCCTTGAGAAACCAAGAACTTGCAGAGAAGAATTATACCAAGCAGTGCCAAATTTCTGTGCCACCTTTCCCTTGCTTATTTATGTAAAGGGTCCAGATACTGAGAAGTCAATCAGAGCTTTGGGCAGTATCTTGGGATAAGAAAAGTGAAAATAAGGATTGATGTTTACCAATGCAGCCAGAACTTGAGGCACCAAGATCCCAGAAAGCAAGAGGAGTGCTGAGAGGGGAGCCTAACACTTGGCACTTTTCTACACATTTGCTGATATTTTAATTTTAGCCAAAATGCTAAGAAGCTGAATGGAGGTTTGCCAGTTTCATGGGTAGCAGAGACAAACATTTAGTTCAAGACCTGCCAAAGAAGATGGGCTTCGGTAAACACTTCAGGCTTTCAACTGGCATTAGAGCAAACCCAAATAAGCCCATTTGCAAAGGCAGAAATCCAACTTTGAATCAATCTTATCACAGGCTGATAAAAATTGATTTGCTCCAGCTGGGCGCAGTGGTTCATGCCTGTAATCCCAGCACTTTGGGAAGCTGAGGCGGATGGATCATCTGAGGTCAGGAGTTCAAGACCATCACGGCCAACATGGTGAAACCCCATGTCTACTAAAAATACAAAAAAAAAAAAAATTAGTTGGGCATGGTGCCAGGCACCTGTAATCCCAGCTACTAGGGAGGCTGAGACAGGAGAATCGCTTAAACCTGGGAGGTGGAGGTAGCACTGAGCCAAGATCGCACCATTGCACTCCAGCCTGGGCGACAAGAGTGAAACTCTGTCTCAAAAAAAAAAAAAAATTGATTTGCTCCTACTCTCCTGCCTCCTAAAAACAAAAGAGAATCCCTTATGGCTGAAAATACCTACATTAAAAAATCTCAGATTACCTTTCTAACTTTTCATACACTGTATTCAACATTTTCTCAAAAACTAGCAGATTTAAAAGGATGCAGGGCTATGTCACTGAAACCCAGTGATAAAAAAAAACAAGGGTTATTGGACTTTTTAGATGTTTTTAAATAACTATGATTAATGTATACAACAAGGTATACGATACTGTCAGCAGACTTCTTGCATTGATAGTATGAATCACATGGTAATTCTAGAAATAACATTAAGAACATAGAGTAAGAGTTAGTGAACAGGAAGATGAGTCATCAGAAAATAGAGTAGATAACAGAAAAAAATACATTACAAAGCATACAAGATTTATTAGACATGATCAAAAGGTTTAGCATCTCTTCTAAATACCCCCAAATAAAAGGAAAGAGAGAAATAAGAGAAAGTGAGGTTAGGTAAGATGATATGATGTGAGGTAAGAGAAGAAGGAAACAAAAGCGTTAAGTGAAAACAGTGGCTAGAAATTTTCCCAAAATAATGAGACAAGAAAGCTCAAAGTTAAAAGGAACTATGTACCTAAAGCAGAATATATACAAATGAAACCTCAATTTACTGAAAGTCAAATACATAGGGAATATTTTGATTTAAACAAAAGGCACATTATCTTTGAAACAGCAACAATGTCATCTATAGCTGACTTTATAACATAAGCAATGGAAACTAGAAGATAATATGATGCTGTTACTAGAGAGCTAAAAAATAAAACTGCCAAACTAGAATGCTGTACCTAAAAGAAAACATCCTCCAAATAAAAAGAAAATAAAAATTTATATCAAAAAAATTGAGAGAATTTGTTGTCAGCAGCTTCAAGTAAAGTGAGTTTTTTTCCTGCAAAGGAAAATAATTGCAACTGAAAACACAGAAATACAGGGAGGAATAAAAACCAATGATACTGGTAGATAAATATAAAATTAAAATGCATGACAATATAACACTGAAGCTAGGAACTTAGGAAAAAATAAAAATAAATTAATAGTGGGGCAAGTGAGGAGAGAAGTTCTATGGTCCTTATGTTGTTTAAAGTGAAAAATGTACTAATTTATATAAATATATTAAAACAAGGAAGCATGCTGTAATTTTTAGGCTAAAAGTAAAGGCAAAATATTGTAAAAATAAGCTAATAAAGTGGAAAATAAAAAAGGATTTCATTCTAAGAAAGATAATCAAAGGAACAAAAGAAATAGAAACAATGAAAAAATAAAGTGTTAAATTTAAAGTCAAATATATCTGATTTTATTAAATCTGAATATATTAAGCACTCCATATAAAAGTTGAAGTTTAAAATAATAGAAAAAAACCTGATTTATGCTGCTTACAGGAGATACAACTGAAAATAAATATATACAAAAGTAAGAAGTGAAACAGTAATAGAAGATAAGCTGCACAACCCCAAGAAAGATTTGATAGAGCAATAATATCAGATGATGACACATTTCATAATGCTACAATAACTTATCCAAGGAAAAGCTTAGAATGCTAAGTTTGAACATACCAACATATCTATAAAATACCTAAAGAAAATTTGATATAACTAAAAATGAAAATAGACAAACTTACCATCATAATGGGAGATTTTAACACATATCATTTACTTGTTGATAGAAAAACGACAAAAAACCATAAGGATGTAGAAGATACCTCAATATCAACAACAACAAAAATCACCCAAAATATTAAGCAATAAACACATTCCTCAAATTTCTCTGTATGAGTTAGAAAAAATCATGTGGTTCTTTTGGAGTATAGTGCAACTCTTCATGGGCCACACTTTGCACTTCACCTTTTTGGCTCATCTAGGATTTGAGTCTAATTAGAGGTCTACAAGCAAGGTGGGTGATGGGGGTGGATTCTGAGTAGAATTAGTAAAGTCTTGCAAGGCGTCTCAAAGTTCATTTAATTTCCTCAGGGAAGGCAGCTGTAATGTCCTCAAACAGGTGTGGAAGGGCTGTTGCTAAAGATGACTGCAGAATTTTGGAATTCAGTGTCCTCAGCTTCATCAAAATTGCTGATCAAAATATGTCCCACTCTAATTTTGAGGATTCCATTTCTTCCTAATCAGTGCCCTAATGTTAAAGCAGACACTCTTTGATTTTGGACATTATATACTTTTTTCTATTATACTTTAGGTTCTAGGGTACATGTGCACAACATGCAGGTTTGTTACATATGTATACATGTGCCATGTTGGTGTGCTGCACCCATTAACTTGTCATTTACATTAGGTATATCTCCTAATGCTATCCCTCCCCCCTCCCCCCACCCCACAACAGGCCCTGGTATGTGATGTTCCCCTTCCTGTGTCCAAGTGTTGTCTTGTTCACTTCCCACCTATGAGTGAGAACATGCGGTGTTTGGTTTTTTGTCCCTGGGATAGTTTGCTGAGAATGATGGTTTCCAGCTTCATCCATGTCCCTACAAAAGACATGAACTCACCCTTTTTTATGGCTGCATAGTATTGGATGGTGTATATGTGCCATATTTTCTTAATCCAATCTATCATTGATGGACATTTGGGTTGGTTCCAAGTCATTGCTATTGTGAAAGTTTCTATATCTATCCTGAAAACACCACACACACACACACACACACACACACACACACACACCTTTATCTCCTGTAGCAAACTTAACCCATAAGTAGTCTTATCCTGTAAGTAGCTGAATTTTGCTACAGGAGATAAGGGTGTGTGTGTGTGTGTGTGTGTGTGTGTGTGTGTGTGTGTGTTTTGTTTTTTGTTTTTCAGGATAGATATAGAAACTTTCAGATCATGTATGTTGTACTTGAGCTGGGAATTTGAAACCATGAGCTCATCCTTTTCTGTACCCACTTTGTCCAGAACAATTAGGAGCAATCAGCTAATCTCATTTTACTTGTTAGTTTGACAGAATGTCCTAAAATATCAAATACATGATCATCCAGAACCTTTCCTCTTGTATTTGATTAGGAGATATTTTCAATGTATTTTGAATATTTCCATTGCATTCAATGGAGACATTTCACGTAGTTTTCTTGCCACGTCACACCACAAAACATCAGTGCTCTCTTTACTACTAGAAATAGAGCCATTGGTACCTTTATATCTAACCAGATTAGAGCACCAATTCTAGAAAATCCCAGAATCAATTCAGAAAATTTATTTTGAAGAGTCTGTCCTTCTAGAACCATTCCCAGCACCAAAATTTGTATCACTCAGCATTCTTTAGAGAAACAGACCCTATAGGGGTGTGTGTGTGTGTGTGTGTGTGTGTGTGTGTGTGTGTGTGTGTGTGTGTGCAGAGAGAGAGAGTGATTTTAAGAAATTGGTTCCTGATTGTAGTGCCTGGAAAGTTCAACATTTGTGAGGCGGGCCAGCAGGCTGGAAACTCAGCTAAGAGTTGACATTTAGCACAGACTGGCAGTCTGGAAACTGGGAAATGATTTCTAAGTTACAGTCTTGAGGCAGAATTCCTTCTTCTCTGGAAAACCTCGGTTTTTGCTTTTAAAACATTTGACTGACTAGATGAGGCAAATTAAGGATTATCTCTTTGCTTTAAATCAACTTAAAATAAATGTTAAGGTAGAGTTGTTTAAAGTAGATATTAGTCCTATCTACAAAATATCTTCACATCTAGTGTGTGACCAAAAAAAGACACGTTATTTGTCTTAATCTAGCCAAATTGATGTGTAATATTCATCATCACAGAGTATTTACTTAGAAGTAAAATTGTGAGCTCAAAAAATGACCATATATTCAAATAGGTGTCACATGTGCTATTGCAAATTCAAGCCAAAATTCTCATAGAAACACTATATTTGCCATGAGGAAAGCAATTTTGAGGGCAGCAATGGTCAGCAAAGACTGATAACAACTCCAGAGATGGTTAAAGGAATGATGTATGATCTGATGAAATTATACCATTCATAAATGTGAAAATTTGTTCATTAATGGTTATTATTGTTACTTGAATATTGCAATTAACAGGAGAAACACACTTTAATTATGCCAATTTGATTATCAAAGAAAACCTGGAAAAGTTGAATTATCCTCTTTACTTTTGATCATAATTATTGAATGACATAATCTTTCTAATTGATTTTTTAAACTGTAATAGCAAATAAAGACTTAGAAAAATGTGAAAAGTGCATTGCCTTTCAGTAATCCCTGGTGTAATAAAAAAGGTGCTATCAACCCTATAATATTGTTAGGACTTTTCCATTTCCTTAATGTTTTCTTATTTTGGCATTTATTCCCCAAATTTATTGAGAGCTAAGTGGAAATTCCCACTGATAAGCTGCAATTTAGACATGAAAAGAAAAGGTGTCATCAAATGTCCTTCACAACCAAAATTCCAATCAAATGAAATCTTATTAAAATGAAATATTTAGCCTTCATTTTGAGATATATTAGGCATTTAAAGTACTAGTTAATTGCATAAATATGAACAAGGGGGTGCTGAGATCCTTTTGAGAATTATCACATTATACCATCAAAAGGAACATGATTTGCTGCCTGAATGTATTTTCTATCTGAAACCACAAATAATGACTTTGGAGGGAATACAAAAGGACTTAGAGAGTGAACTACAAGACTACCCATGTTTTTCCACAACTTCAGTACTCTCTTTGGTTTTTAGTTTTTGTTTTGCTTTCAAAGAAAATAATTGGATTTGTCATTTAAAATGTGGGGTTTATAAGTTTGCATATGAAGATGTTTTCAAAGGTAAAGAGCTTTTAAGAAATAAAAGATTTTCCAGTTTTCAGGTGCTCTTAGACTGTTTCCCTTATTTGCTAATAGGAAATCAGTAGCTTTAATTTCAACTTTTACTAAGAAGCACTACAATAGAAAAATTTTTTAAAAATACAATGTTCTTCAGTGTCATTCAATTTCCTGATTTTCCTAGTGCTCCTTGTTTTTGCTGTCACAATGCTAATTTCGTTTTGTATTTTTTTCAGCTTATTGTGATTTTTTTTACAAGTTGAGGCTGCTACTGTACTATGAAGGGCTATAGGTTAGACATAAATATATTACATCTTGAGAATCCAGTTACCTTAACAAATAATTTACATTAAAATGTTTTAGGTGACATTTCACCAGCAACAAAATGTAAAAATAATTTTATGAGAAATTTAAGGTGTTTTGGGCAGAATTCTCCTCTAAAATGGGTTGAGACGTTGAAAAGCGATGCAGGAAGTCTAGTGTTCTCTTTGGAGTGTTAGTTTTCAAAAGGAAAAGACAGTAAAAATCAACGCTATTTCTAGAAATAAAGCAATATTTTATGAGTCTTAACCATAAAGGGAAAAAATTAAAATAATCGCTTGACTTAACTTTACAGAGAAAGTCATCAATTTCTAAAATACACTCCTCTATCTCCACATAAAACATAGCAAAACCTGTCTAGTTACCCTAACCACTCTTATTTTAAAGCATATGCTTTATGATTGACTTAAAGGCATTATTTATAAACTTATTTATATTATTTATTTAAAATGTAGCATTTACTAAATTTATATCAATAACTTATCATAGGTTATTCAATATTCATTAAGTAATTTTATTATCATGGATTTTTAGTGACTTTTTTCCCTTCCAATAAACTCAGATGAATCGAAAGTTCACAGTGTCCCTTGCTCTTTATCAGCAGTTAGGGAGTTAACAAAATCACACTAGTTAATGAATTTTCCTTAAGGTCATAAATATAAAGTAAAATGCACAAATCAATTGTTCAAACTTCCAAAATATCACATCTAATACAACTTGTATAGAGTTATATGGAGGCTACATAATTTCTTATTTCTTTTGAACTTTAAAGTTCTAGGGATATTCCTCTAACGCATATGTTTCTGTATTCTAAATCTATTTCCAGCTTGTCTAGAGTGGGAATAGTGCCTAAGAATCTAAAGACCAAACTGGGACCACAGAGAGGGAAAGAACATGTCCCTCCTGTTTGTCAGTTTTCTCTCATATTGCATGTATGTCCCATATGTTACACTCTGCTGCCCACAGGCAAGGAAGAAATAATGTTTATACTCCTGAGGGAATTTTAAATGCTGTTTCAAAGAATTTCTTTTGTATCCTGCCACCAAACTATCACAACATATGCAGTTCCAGTTCTATTTTTCCCACTAGAAAACCATCACTATGCTGGAGTGGATAATATAAACTCTATTCCCTTAAAATCACTAGAATTCTTAATCATTTCTCATCATCATTCTGGCTAGTTGTTTTATACTCCTATTTGAAAAATACTTTTCTAGTATAACTTGAGCAGAAAAATCATAGCAGAAAAGAGAAAGTCAATCTCTACTAAAAGGAATTTACTTTAAGACAGGCAAAGGCCCATCAGGTTCTTATCTCAGCAGGACACATATCTCATCCTCAGTCTCAGTACACTTTGGATGTGAATGCTTTGGTCACCTCATCTAGGAACCATCAGATAAAATGGCCTTTTGGTGAACATTTGATTTGTCGAGAGAATTTCCTCCTAATTCAAGAATATCTTTGAAAATCTTGAGATAACTAATTATTGATTTGTATGAAATATTTTTAGTGAAGCGCACCTTAGATAAACAACCAATCTTTAATACGTTCAAGCCTAGAGCCCTGAAAAATGACATTTTTTTTTTTTTGCAGTTGGAAGGCAGGAAGACACAATGCCTAACAGCCAAGTAGTAGCATTGTGTCTGATTAGAACATTTTTTTTCTGCTTATTTGCCCGTTATAGGCCCTTTTTTAGTAACAATGAACTAGTCACTATAGAAAGGAAAGATTTATTATTATGTGACATTCTAGAAAAGGCAAATCTAAAAGGAAAGATTTATTATTATGTGACATTCTAGAAAAGGCAAATCTAAAAACTATTATACCAATAGTTGCCACATTCTTGGAGTAATGTAGGAAAAAAGTAATGCAAAGGGTAATGAAGACCCTGTTTCGGACAATGGAAATATTTCTCATTTTTATTTTGGTGGTGGTTACATTATTGTATAAGTTCATTAAGATTCAGTAAATTGTACACTTTAAAAGGACTGAATTTTACGTTATATATTACTAAATAAACAAAAAGGGAAGATTTGCAAAACTTCAAACTTATAATAATGGAGGGCTCCAGCTGTGTGGAATTAAAATAGAGAAATATTAGACTAGATTGGGTGCATTCAGGGTGGTAGGGCTATAGTAGAGATTTGATCTTTATGATTTGTGATACATATCACCTAATAAAATGGTTGATAGAATGTCAGGAATCACATCCTGTGTTTTAAAAATTTAGTGTAAAAGCCTCGTATAGAGCATGAAAAAAAATGTGCAGAATGTGTGCATGCCTATACACTTTGAATTATCTCCTTAGATGTGTCTGGATTTTGGTTTGCCTTCTTAGCCCATTGTGCTCACTCCAGTAATACAATATATAGATTATTCATGGCTGCCAAGCTGGCCTGCTAACACTATAGATTTAAGCAGGTTTGCTGAGCTTCCCTTTTGTCTTCTTATTCACATGAAGACCCACTGCACTCCTGTTCATTAATTTGAGGGAAGAACAACAGCAGGCTGTTTCTTATTCTTCCCTTCAGTTAGATGTAACTGGTCTTACGAACACAGGAAAGGCCTATTGCAGACTCTACTCATGATAAGCTTGAAACTACAGATTGTGCAGTCAAGTTGTTGACCCAAAGAATGTGGAATATGGTTTTAGGCAAGACCTAGGCATGTATGCTTCTCCTGTGCAACTAGGGGTCGTGGTTGAGCATTGAATCTCCCATGATTAAAGATGAGTGCTCCTCACTCAAATGTTTTTAGATTTTAGAGCTCAAGGGGAATAATTTGTCTGTTAGGGGTAATGAGCAATTTGTTTTGCAGCTTGGTAAATTGGCATGCTTGGTTCTTCAATTAGTATGTAAAGTTTTGTATTTGCAGCATTTACATTTAATGTTTAGCCCATAGGTTTCTGAATCTGAAAGGGTCACAACAATTCTCTGAAAGCCACGGACACCATGTGAATGATTTAAACTCAGTGAGTGACCTCAGCATGTCAGTTATTAATTGATATGAACACATTTGCCTTTTGGGGATGTGACTTTGGGATTGGTGCTAGCTTGAACTTGGGTTCATTGTTTATAATACCTGCATTTGTGCTTTAAAAAAGGATCTAGAAATTTCACATATGGTGACATGTCAAATATGTCACAGTAGGTATGGTATTGGTACCCTATGGTTGGAAGGCACTAGTGTGAGGCTGATTAGTCTATCCAACAGGTACCTCTTCTTTGAGACCTTTCTGTATCCTTCTCTCTCCTATAAGCCTGAGTCCTTTGGCCATAGCTAAATGATTTCATTCTTTTCAAATCATCTAGGTTGAGCCAATCAGGCTTTGTCTTACTAATTTTATATGTTGAAAATAGATATCAAGACTGAGTGATTATCTGCTAAGTCTCCTTAATGCCATTTTTTTTTCTGGGGTGGGGAGGGGAAATTGTATATTGTATTTAAAATACCACCTGTTAAATTTTCCTGAGCGACTCTCTTCTCTTTGCCTAAGAAATGTGTTTGCTGATTTGGTTCTGCATTTTGTAAAATACTCGTGTTCTTACAATAAAAGTTGTTTGATGGAGAAAGATAAAATAAAATAGAGAAATATTAGAGAGAATCTTTAAGATAATTTAATTATGTAAATTAAGTTGGCATATGGATTCAAATTTTTCAATCTGCAGTTAATTGCTGATTTCAAGTCAAAGTAAAGATGTCACATATATGTTTAAGTGATATTTGGTCATCAGTGACTATCCACAATTAGAATGGGGCAGAATTAGATCATGTTTGAAACTATGCTCTTTTTTGTTTGTTATCATTGTTTGTTTTTAAAGAACATATGCTTATGTGTATATCTACAGAGAACCTGAAAGACTGTGCTCCCAAGACTTGCTAAATGCTGATTACTCACAAAAGTCTCATTCAGAATAATGAGAGAATTTTAAAATACAAGTACTAAACTGTTCTCAATAAACTTTGGGAATTGCCTACAATGTATCAGACATATTTTGTGTATACCATATATATTATCCCTATTTTTAAAAATTATGAAAAGGTTAAATTACTTACCAAAATGAAGATAGTAAATATAAGAAGTAAAGCTGTACTACCTACACAGAGTAAAGACAAGCAAGTAAGGAAATAACAATGAATATAGTCACACAAAAGGAGGAAAGGAGTGTCAAAAGACAAAATTATAACAAATTTTGTTTAAAAATCTAATTGGCTTTTATTTGTTATTCCA
Organism: Homo sapiens; assembly: GCF_000001405.40. Classification (NCBI taxonomy): domain Eukaryota; kingdom Metazoa; phylum Chordata; class Mammalia; order Primates; family Hominidae; genus Homo; species Homo sapiens. The sequence continues at coordinate 90,965 of NW_018654720.1, read as the reverse complement.
GAGTCGGGCAACACCACATTCTATAAATTAGAATGAGTGTTCCAATGAGCTGAGCAGGGGAAGCTGGCTTTATGGGCAGAAAAGGGCTGAAGAGACAGAAACAGGAAACGAAAAGTAGATTGGTAATTTCAAAGTGACTTTCCTTACAGCGTTAAGACAGAGTGGGAACTATTTCTGTTATGTTGACGTAGGCTGACGGGAATATCCAGATTTTTTTCTGAAAACTGGCCCATTTTAAAGTTCAGCTTGATTATATATACTTAGCACAAATTACTGCATTCTGTTTGGTCTGGTCTTCAGGAGCCTAGTGCAGGAGGCTGGTCCAAAACAATGTCCTCCCATAGTTTTTTTTTTTTTTTTTTTTTTTTTTAACAGGAGAAAAAGAAATAAGGCAGGAACAGTGTAGGAAAGAAGAAAACAAAAGTAAAAGAAACCAACAAAGAGAGAAAGGAAAGGAGAATGGAAGGAAGAGAAAAAAAAAGAAAATGTGATAATTTATTCAACAAACTAAGTAATGTATATCCAGTTGACTTCAAAACTAATAACCCTTTCCACCCCTCTCTGTAGCCTCACAGCAAGAGGTGACCCAAGAATGATACACAGAAATTATTAAAATTTCGAGAAAAGAAGACAAAGGAGTATAAAAACTGTAAAAGTTAATTGTTACATGTAAAAATTCTTAGAATAATGTCCTGGCACATAGTAAATAAAAGTAAAAGCTTTTTTTTTTTTTTAAACGGAGTCTCACTTAGTCACCCAGGCTGGAGTGCAGTGCGCAATCTCAGCTCACTGCAACTTCTGCCTCCCAGGTTCAAGTGATTCTCCTGCCTCAGCCTCCCTAGTACCTGGAATTATAGGCAGCCGCCACCATGCCCAGCTAATTTTTGTATTTTTAGTAGAGACCAAAAACTTGTTTTAATTGATTAGTAATTATAGTAAGAAAAAGAAATGGAATATCATTTTCTAAATGTCAAAAAAATCAATGCTACAACAAAATACCTAATAAAAATTGATTAGTGATTAGTGAATGGTGAAAAGAGGAGAATTCACATTTGTGTGTCTGAAAGTGTGATCTGTATATGAATATACACATGGAATACACACAGACGACCAAATCGTTGTTCTCTTCAATATTTTTAAATGGCTTGATGGAGTGATTTGATAACTGATATATGTGGAATTTTGTCCCCCCAAATAATATGTTGAAGCCCAAACTCTCAATGTGATTTTATTAGAAGACAAAGCTCTTAGCAGATAATTAGGTTTGAATGAGGTCATAGAGGGGATCTTAAGTTGATAGAATTTAGGGCTTTATAAGAAGAACGAGAGAGAGAGATTTATCTCTCTTTTTGCATGCATACAGCATGGTAAGGTCAAGCCAGTATGTAAGTCAGAAGGCCACCCTCTACAAGCCAGGAAAAGAGACTTCACCAGGAACCAAATTGGCCAGTCCCTTGATTTTGGAATTCCCAGCCTCTAGAACTGGGGGAAGTAAATTTCTGTTGTTTACACCACTCAATTTATGATGTTCTTGTTATGGTAGCCTGAGCTGATTAAAACAATGGCAAATTGATCAAACTAATTGCTATTTCTATTAAGTTCTGTATCTGTATCAGATAGTTTGCTGGATACTGGAAATAAACTATGTATTTTAATTATCATAAAAATATATGAGATTGGTATTATTTTTATCCTTTTCTCGGATTAAGAAACTGAAGCATAGGAGAGATTAAATAACTAGCTCAAGTTACAGGGCTAATATGTAGCAGAGCCAGTCCTCAGTTCTTGCATTTTGAGATCTGTATTTTTTTCTAAATAGTTTCTTCTGAAGATGGAAACAGATGCTGAGTCCATTGAAAGATACAGATCCTTTCCAGAACAAACAAAATATCAAAAACAAACACAATAATATGAAAAATATAGGAGAGAAATGCAAAGTGTATAAAGAAAATATATGTGAAAACATAAAGCATGAGTTCCACAGAATGAAAATCAGGAATCTACTTTTACCAAGTAGTGTAGCCTGGCAAAACTGAACATGATGAAGAAAAATGGTAACAGTGCTTAAGAGTACAGTTTTTTATAGTACTGTCTAATCAGAATACACCCCAGAGATAACCCTAGCACAAATCTAAACTACCCCATTTGAAAAGCTGTTCCATTCTAATGTATAGATATATAGTGCTGGGTCTGGAAGTTGCAGAGATAATTTTCTAGGAGATCTATGTATCCCTAACTCAGATAAAATCAGTAACTGTCTACATGATGGTGAGGATTTAGATAATCCTGTAGCTCTCACTGGTATATATCATGACCATACTAACTTCCTTCTTCATATTTTATAAAAATGCACTGTTTGATATACTCTATTGCTGTTTATGGCTGCTTTATGTCAATCTAAGCTATCATTGACTTTTGTCAACAGAGTGGTCATGCAGAAAGAAAGGAAGAACAAAATGGAGGAAATAAAGGAGAAAACTAAATAGGAAGAGAGAATAGGAAGAAAATGAATAAAGAGAGAGAAGAAAGAAGAAAGGAAGGGAGGAAGAGAGAGGAAAGCAAGTAGGAAGGGAGAGGGAAGAAGACAAATGGATAGGGATATAACAGGCAAGACAGAATGGGAAAGGTGGGATTTACCATTAGCACATGTGAACAAGCTTCAGGGAATTTTAGTTAAAAACAAATGTAAACTTATTACCATGAATCTAATAAGAATTCAGTTGCATTTGTTGAAATACAGAGTTCAAATTAAGAAAGTTGTTAATCACAATATATTTAATTTTGTGCATAACCTGCTTTATTTGAAAACAGCCCCGACACAAGGTAGACTATGATGATGAGAGTCAAAAGCGAGAAGAGAAAAAATGAGAATGATTAGCCCAGTGAAATAAAGATAGAAGAGAAAAATGAAAGCTATCTTCAAACATTTAAGGAATATAAAATGTTGATATTCACAGTAATCATTTTATTCAATGTCCAAGAGGATGGGGAAGACAAATTTCAACTTAGAAAATTAGATATTAGAAAATCAACTTAGAAAATCAATATTAGAAAAGTATTTTAATATATAATTGTTATGCAAAATGTAGTACAATGCAGTAGATAGAGTGTTATTAGCATTTAAAAAATATTCTAACAGTGGTTTATTAAACTATAGAGGAAATGATCTAACTCAATTATGAGAATATAACTGATATAAAATAATATTAAAGTATTATTGGAAAGTTCAGAAGGGTTTAAAAATATGTATTTTAACAGAAAAATAATCCATAACACATCAATAAAAATCAATTGAAAAATTGAATGCTGAAAAGAAAAGAGACCTATTGCTTTTATTTGCTGAAACGAAAAACATGAGCAAAATTTTAAACATTTGGTTTGGTTGAAAAATTTTATTCCACAATCGATTTCTTTGTCTGTAAAATTTAGATGACTCTGATATTCATACTAAAAGTGATGTTTTTCATAATGGAAGTTCATGATAGATAGATGTAGAATTGCTTACATAAGTTGTTAAAATTTGCATTGTATAGATTGATATACTTAGGATCCTTGAGCATTCATCATTTCAAAGATTCCCTAGAAAAGTTGTTTGTAATATTGATTACTATAATGAATAGTTTTATATACTATATAGTTTAATATGCTAATTGACTGCTTATCTGTTGAATTTTTTCCAAGTACTTCCACTTCTTACCCCAAAGTATACCATAATTCTATGTCTACTTCAGATTTTATATTGACATCAGTATCAACTCTGGGCTAAATGTTAAGTTACCATCAAAATATACTTTAATCTAGAAACAGGTTGTATTAGTTTTTTTTCATGCTGCTAAAAAAGACATAACCAAAACTGAGAACAAAAAGAGGTTTAATTGGACTTATAGTTCCACATGGCTGGGGAGGCCTCAGAATCATGGCAGGAGGCAAAAGGCAATTCTTACATGGCCGCGGCAAGAGAAAAGTGAGGAAGAAGAAAACGTGGAAACACCTGATTAACTGATACGATCTCCTGAGACTTATTTACTGTCATGAGAATAGCATGGGAAAAACTGGCCCCCATGATTCAATTACCTCCCCCTGGGTCCCTCTTGCAACACGTGGGAATTCTGAGAGAAAAAATTCAAGTTGAGACTTGGGTGGGGACACAGCCAAACCATATCATTCCATCCCAACCCCTCCAAATCTCATGTCCTTACATTTGAAAATCAATCATGCCTTCTCAACAGTCCCCCAAAGGTTTAACTCATTTCAACATTAACCCAAAAGTCCACAGTCCAAAGTTTCATCTGAGACAAGGCAAGTCCCTTCTGCCTATGAGCCTGAATATCAAAAGCAAGCTAGTTATTTCCTAGATACAATGGGGGTACAGGTATTGAGTACATATAGCCATTCCAAATAGGAGAAATTGGCCAAAGCAAAGGGGTAAGAGGGCCCATGCTAGTCTGAAATCCAGCAGGGCAGTCAAATCTTAGAGCTCCAAAATGATCTCCTTTGACTCCAGGTCTCACATCCAGGTCATGCTGATGCAAGAGGTGGGTTCCCATAGTCTTGGGCAGCTCTGCCCCTGTGTCTTTACAAGGTACAGCCTCCCTCCTGGCTGCTTTCATGGGCTGGCATTGAGTGTCTGAGGCTTTTCCACGTGCACGGTGCAAGCTGTCTGTGTATCTACCACTCTAGGGTCTGAAGGATAGTGGCATCTTCTTCTTACAGCTCCATTAGGCAGTGCCCCAGAAAGGACTCTATGTGGGGATCCGACCCCGTATTTCCCTTCTGCACTGCCCTAGCAGAGGTTCTCCATGAGGGCCCCACCACTGCAGAAAACTTTTGCCTGGGCATCCAAGCATTTCCATACATCTTCTGAAATCTAGGCAGAGGTTCTCAAACCTCAATTCTTGACTTCTGTGTACCCACAGGCTCAACATCATGTGAAAGCTGCCAAGGCTTGGGGCTTCCACCCTCTAAACCCAGAGCCCAAGCTCTACATTGGCCCCTTTCAGCCATGGCTGGAGTGGCAGGAACACAGGGCACCAAGTCCCAAGGGTGCACACAGCACAGGGAGCCTGGCCTGGCCCACAAAACTGTTTTTTCCTCCTGGGCCTCTGGGCCTGTGATGGGAGCGGCTGCCATGAAGGTTGCTGACATGGCCTGGAGACATTTTCCCCATGCTGTTGGGGATTAACATTAGTATCTTTGCTACTTATGCAAATTTCTGCAGCCAGCTTGAAATTCTCCTCAAAAAATGGATTTTTCTTTTCTACTGCATTGCCAGGCTGCAAATTTTCTGAAATTTTATGCTCTGTTTCCCTTTTAAAATGGAATGCTTTTAACAGCACCCAAGTCACTTTTGAAGGCTTTGCTCCTTAGAAATTTCATCTGCCAGATACCCTAAATCATCCCTGTCAAGTTCAAAGTTCCACAAATCTCTAGGGCAGGGGCTAAATGCTGCCAGTCTCTTTGCTAAAACATAACAAGAGTCACTTAACAAGAGTCACCTCTGCTCCAGTTCCCAACAAGTTCCTCATCTACATCTGAGACCATCTCAGCCTAGAATTGTTCATATCACTATTTTTGTCAAAGCCATTCAACAAGTCTCTAGGAAGTTCCAAACTTTCCCACATTGTCCTGTCTTCTTCTGACCCCTCCAAACTGTTCCAACCTCTGCCTATTACCCAGTTCCAAAGTTGCTTCCACATTTTCAGTTATCTTTTCAGCAACATCCCACTACTGGTACCAACTTACTGTATTAGTTTGTTTTCACACTGCTGATAAAGACATACCCAAAACTGGGAACCAAAAGAAGTTTAATTGGACTTACAGTTCCACATGGCTGGGGAGGCCTCAGAATCACAGTGGGAGGCGAAAGGCACTTCTTACATGGCAATGGCATGAGAAAAATGAGGAAGAAGCAAAAGCAGAAACCCCTGATAAACCCATCAGATCTCATGAGATGTATTCAGTATCACTAGAATAGCACAAGAAAGACCAGCCACCATGATTTAATTACCTCCTCCTAGGTCCCTCCCACAACATGTGGGAATTTTGGAAGATACAATTCAAGTTGACATTTGGCTGGAGACACAGCCAAACCATATTCAGGTGTAATCTGAAAATGTGAATAGTATCGTATTGAAAAAAGCAAATAGCAGGCAAATAGGTTGAATCTAAAGATTCAGGAGAAAATCAGAAAACAGAATCTTATAAAGGTGAAATCATAAAGATCACAGCAGAGTTGAGGGGCATTGGTCAAGAAGTTAGGGATCTATGAGTCAAATAAGCTAGGCATTATTGAGAAACATACTGGCCAAAAAATTAAAAAGCTGAGGACATGACTGATAATGAAATGACAAGCTAATTTTTATATTAATATGAGTATCTTAAGATTAATTTAATGGTTTCATAACAAGAGTTTTAAATGTGTTTCTCCCTGCACCCAAATCTAAAGGCAAGCAGTCATTAGCTTAACTAATCACCACAATGGGATCAGCAGGAATCTCTGATTAAGGGAGAACAGTTTGGGAGGAAGATTTCTGCAGACTTACTTAACTACAAATAAAACTAGTAACAATAAAAATGTGATGAATAAACAAAATGTGTTAGGGCAAGAAATGCCATTTTAATCTGAGAATAGCAAAAGCAGGGAGGAGAAAAAAGTCAACATTCTGCTTACAATTAAATTCTCAGCATAAATGTGAACATCCATGCCCTCGGTCAAGGAACATAGAGATTACAAATGCTGCACCCAGCCAATATGCTCTATGCAAATTATCAACTTAATCTTCTATCAATGTATTTACTATAATTTCATTTTATTTTCATATTCTCACATCATCATAAAAAATGTGAAATTATTTTTCAATAATAAGTAAAATCAGCCAGGCGCAGTAGCTCATGCCTGTAATCCCAGCACTTTGGGAGGCCAAGGCGGGCGGATCACAAGGTCAGGAGATCAAGACCATCCTGGCTAACACGGTGAAACCCTGTCTCTACCAAAAATACAAAAAATTAGCCGGGCATGGTGGTGGGCACCTGTAGTCCCAGCTACTCGGGAGGCTGAGGCACGAGAATGGTGTGAACCCAGGAGGCGGAGCTTGCAGTGAGCCAATATCGCGCCACTGCACTCCAGCCTGGGTGACAGAGTGAGACTCTGTCTCAAAAAAAAGTAAAATCAACTTCTACATTATTAGTAGTAAGTGAATATATATTTGAATGCCTATCCCTAATAGGCTAGAATTTTTATTTAATTTTAAATTATAAATCCCATCTTGTGGGCTAATCACAATATAAGTATCTGTCCTTATAATCATGAAATGTAAAGCTAAGGTTCATATGGAAATGATTAGTAGAAAGGGATATAATCGAAAATATATTATATTAGACACTGTAATCACAGGATTTGTTTTCACAAATCCCTTTTCAGCATAGTAATTATTTTATGAGTAATACTTTACTTTTTCTCCATAAATCCTTTTAGCATATGTATTATATTAAATATAGGGTGTTGGTGACATAGAGAATAAATCACTCATTTTATGATTTCTATATGTATAAAAAGTTTATGCCCCACCTCTATTTCTTAGATATTGGGTGAAATCTAATAATTATTAAGATATTTCTGTTCTACTTTGCAAGCTTACTTGAAAAAATTTCTGTGAATGTTTTGAGTTCATTTTCAAAATTTTTTGTTTATGTACACATTGAAAATTGTTCTTGTTATTCTATTAAATGTTTTCTACATCACTTATGGTTAAAGATAGTGAAAACACATCATACATCTTTAGAAATATCATAGATTAGTATGAGAATATCCTAGGGAAGGTAATGCCATCAGAATATCTATTTTCATACTGAGTATCATCATTACTTTCTCAATTAGACTGCCCAATTGCTTTTCATTTCACTTGCATCCTCTTCTCTGTTGCTGAGAATTTCCCAGTAGCTGTAATCTTCTGCTAAGAGCTACACTTAGCATAAATGTTTCTTGAGAGAGTTGCAGGTCAATTTCATTTATTAGTAAGCTGGTATTCTGACACAAATTTTACCAACCAAAGCACATAGGGAGAAGAACAGATAGTGAAATGGCAATGGGTCAGATATACTGACCTGCTTCTTCACTGTTTACTTTTATCTCTTTGAGTTTGGGGAAATTACATAACTTTAAATGGTGCTTGCTACATAGTAAGCTTTTGATACATATTCCTTAATTTAGTAAATTAATGAACTGTCACTTAATACATAAGAAATATGATCTCTTCTTACCACTTCAGTACATACTAGATAAGAAAAATAAAACAGCAAATATAATTTGGCCTCACCCTAAAAAAGGATTATATAGAACACACTATATAATATCATCAATATTTTAATGTCATTGCTAAAATTCACAACATATAAGAAATTATTCTTATTTATAAAAAATCAGAATATCCTTAAACTATTAAAGGAGGAAACACACAAGCATGCCATTAATGTAATGGATATATTTTTATTTATTATTTTTAATATTCCTTCCAGTGATTGACATGTACATATTTTACTTTATGATAAATATCTATAGAGTCAAATTGCCAGATACGTTTCTGAATATATAGGGATATATAAGATGAGGAGCTCACAAAAATTGTATGCAAAACAGAAAAAATAGCTAATTACATTTTGGTAAGTATTGGGACATATGTATGCACAGGGACTCCCTTACATATGCGAAAGTTACACAAAATAAGAGTTTGGGAAGGTGTACAAGACTATGTTTGTGCTGAATCCTGAATTGGATTATCAGTAACCCAGGTAAACAAAGTTGCAAAGCAATGGAGTAGTGAAATAAAGGATGTTCCAGAAAGAACATACGATCCTGTATGGAAATGTACAAGAGCTCACACTATTTAGGCCTATGTGAAATGTGAATAAGTTTGAGAAAGTGATGAGAGATTAGGTTTGAGAAACAAGCTAGAGAAGTCATGGAGAATGTGTTAGGTTAGATTAAAGCAATGATTCTCAAAGTTTGGTTCCAGGATCAGCTATATTGGCATCACTAGGAAACTTGCTAGAATTGCACCTTGCCGGGGTTCACCCAAAACTACTGCATAAGAGACTCTGGAAAATAATCCCAGAAAATTATTTGTTTTTCTTTGTTTGTTTTGAGACGGAGTCTCCCTCTGTCACCAGGCTGGAGTGCAGTGGCGCGATATCGGCTCACTGCAAGCTCTGCCTCCAGGGTTCACGCCATTCTCCTTTCTCAGCCTCCCGAGTAGCTGGAACTACTGGCGTCCGCCACCACGCCAGGCTAATTTTTTTTTTTTTTTTTTTTTTTTTTGTATTTTTAGTAGAGACGGGGTTTCACCATGTTAGCCAGGATGGTCTCAATCTCCTAACCTCGTGATCCGCCCGCCTCGGCCTCCCAAAGTGCTGGGATTACAGGCATGAACCACCGCACCCAGCCAAAATTATTTAGGTGATCCTGATACCTATTAAAGTTTGAGAACTACCACACTAAAATGTTTGGTATACGTTTGACATTACAAAGCCACGTACTTACAAATCTGAGAGAGAATCCTGAATATGTAAACTCTAGAATAATCCTTTGGCAGATTCACCAGAAGAAGACATAAATAAAAACAAAAGAATGGATTTAATAATATTTCATTGGTCCATGTGAGAACTGATGAGGTTCTGAAATAATGTACTAAATACATTTAGATAGAGGATTGAGTGGATTTAAGAGAAATTTAGGATGTAAAAGCAATGTTTGAACAGGCAGACAGAAGGATAAGGTAAAGGAAGGAATTTTAATTGATTTCTAGTGTTCTAACCTTGCAAACTAAGTAGACCAGTCATATTATTAAGGCAATTATTTAATATATATACTCTCAAGTACTATTTGCATATATCATCAATTTACATATTCTTTTTTACAAAGACTTCAAAAACTTGATTATATCGTACATTTCTATACATTCTTTGATTTAAGGCAAATGTATCTACAATAATTTAGGTGACAACTGAGTTTCTCATTTATAGAAATTTATGCTATACATGGCAATTCTATTTATCAGCAGATATATTGAAATCATTTCTGTGGACATTCTCATATAGAAATTTATGCTATACATGGCAATTCTATTTATCAGCAGATATATCTTGAAATCATTTTTGGTGACAAATGAAAGTGATTATTAATTTTTATATTCATTAATTCCAAATACCAAGCAGGCTAAATGCTAAATTAACATTCTTTCAAAGTCACTGAACTAATGTGAGTTCTAAGCTTACCGAAGAAAATATAAATACGAGTGAGTACCAAATAATGCATTTTCTTCTTTATCTTTTGTTTCTAAAATAACAAATTTATTTTTACCTCTCAAACTTTTAAAATCAGTGATACCACTTTAATCCTAAGATGAAGTTTTATAAAGCTTGTTTTAATATCACTTCATTAAGAATGTTTTGATATTGGAATTACTGATGTTTTGACAATGAGTGGAGCTACATACTAAAGCCATAAAAATAGAAGAGAGCAATAAATGGTAGAACCTTAAATAATGCTTGGATTTCAACAATAGGAAGAGGGGCACAAGTCAATGATAACACATGTATTAGTGATGTTCACCAAGTGCTAAAAATGCCATATGCATTATCACATTTAACCTTTCAGTAAGCCATTAATTAGGGGGCAATATTTATTATCTAAATTTTGCACATAACACAACAAAATTAAGGCTTCCATCACTTGCGCAATTCACACAACTGTTAAGATTAAAACAACTGGAGTTTGTATACAAATGTTTCTGCTTCTGAGTCCTTAACAACCATTTGTTATTGTCTTGCAAAAAAATAGGAAAAAGAAGTGACTAGGGAAGTACATACAGACTAAGGTAAATTCCGTGCAATAATAAAATCAAGGAAAATAGAAATATCAAAAATGAAGATGCATTTAATTCAGTTTTTTATTCTGTGTGTGTGTGTGTGTGTGTGTGTGTGTGTGTGTATGTGTGTGTGTGTCTTTTTTGGTAAGAATAACCTACTTTTAATTTCACTGTAAAAAGCACAGATCATGGCATTTGGGGCATTTACTAAATACTGTGCTACTGGCTATTTTCCTTTCTCTATGTGAATGTGACAACATTGCATTAGCTGGACACAGAATGACAGTATTAAATGTTAAAGACAACACAGTGATATCACAGGACAAGCAAGCTTGGACATAAAAAAGAGAGAAAGAAGGAAAAACCCAATACAATTCTAGAGATCATAAAACTATGTAGCTCTCAAAAATGAAATGTAAAGTCATGAATGCGAAAAAGACACATATTAGAAATATAAGTGAAATCCCCATCCCTTTTTTTCAGTCCAAAACTATATTTACAAAAAATTTATCCCAGCGTAACACATCCCACACATACATTTATGTAAAATTTTGTTAAACTATATATTTCCCTATCAAATGAATAACAAAGTGTTCCACTGTTTGAAAACAACACTGGGGAAAGTCAAATAAAATATTGGATTACTATTTTTGATCAAAAGTATATTTTTGGAAATGCAAATAAATGTGATATATTTATAATTGTGGAAAATATTGTGGCTCATTGCGACCAATTCCTGCTGATCTGTTGCATATCATTTTTAAAATAAACAATATTTTGAATAAAAATAAAGTAGTTAATTGAAATATCCTTAAATAGTTGTTCTATTATGGGCATTCCTGCTTGAGGTATGATGATAATTACAACATTCAAATCAGCATTTCTAAAAATATATATCTCTTCATGTAGTAACTGGCAAGAGAGTCATTGTTTTAGCAATCTGCAGAATATATAAATGTTCAATTATAATAAATATAGTTGCCCAATATGAAAATTGCTGATACAGAGTTAAATTAAGTGTTCTTAGTAATGAAAATCACTTTTAGGTGAGGGATAACAGGAAGCTCTTCTAAGAAATATATGAATCCCAGTTAGGTTATTCGGTCTCTTGCCAAGTGATTTAGCACTGTGATCACAATTTAGCCCAGCCTGAACTGGAAGTCTCTTGCAGAACGTTAATGCTTGCATTAATGTAGATTTTGCTAGCTAACATTTATCCCTGTGACAGTTTCATATTCAAAATTGTATCTGCATGGCCCTCTATGCATATAATTTTATGATTGTATTTTAAAATGTAATGACTCTATAATTTTATACCTGGAAAAGTCATCAATGGCTCTAATAACTTTAATAAAGTTAATCATTAATATTCATTATTAAAAGGATTTATAGAATACACTGACTCAGAATACTTGGGTTTGGGACTCTGTCAGCAACATTAGAAGTGATCTCATTTTTGTTTTACCATCACTAATCTAAAAAAATTAAGTGCTAATCATTAAAAAACATAATATCTGTAAAGTGGTCTCTTTGCTCTGAGTTGAAACTCTAATTTATACCCTTAGCAAACTTATAGGATGTACAGACAACTGAATAAACACCATAATTCAAAAGTTAAATGAATGATAAATTATATGTGGCATATTTTAGCTCTAAGTGTTCTGGCTGAGTATAGATTCAGTATATGTAATTTATTTGTGAAAATAATTTATTTCTGTATTATGTCTGTATCCCCCATTAAAATAAAAGAAAAAAATGAGTTTTACCTGTTTTAAAAGCTGTTCTATCCCCAGTGACTACCAGAAGACCTGGTATACAGTATTTACACAATATTTGTTAAAATGAAATAAAAATATAGAAATTTTATTGGACAATTATATCGGGTTAACACTGAACAAGTGTTTTCAGTATATTAGTTTGACTATTATCCAATTATGTAGATGAAGAAATTTAGCTTGGTGAAAATAATATTTCCCAGATAAAACAAGTGGCTGAACCTATGTTAATTTTTTTGGTTTCTGAGTAAAATAATAATTATTATGTCCATGATAATAGTAGCTGAGATATATATTACTAAGTGCCAGATCCTGTTCTCAGATGTGTACTCATATTACTTCATTCAATTCATATAACAACCTCCTGAGATACATAGAATATTACTCTAATTGTACCAGAGGAGATATTGAGGAAAGGTTCAAAAGAAATGTTATGGTAAGTAACCTCCTCATACTCACCACAGGCAGAGAGCTGAAGAGCTGGATTATAAAGCCAGTCTCGCTCAAGGGTTTTTAGCCACTCAACTTTACAGCTTTTCAAGATGTTCATTTCTGTTTATGAATAAGGTGATTGCTTTGTGGGTCTCTAAATTGTTACTGATTGTGGATAAAATAAATTCTAAGGGTGAGACTATCTGGAAATGTGGATTCATTCATCCAAAAAACATTTATGAAGTTTCAGAAGTATGATGTGACTGGGGTTGCAAATCACAAAGGTTGCTGGAATTCATGAGCCAAAGGGAAATTTCTATAATGTAATTATGACTTGGTAATGTGTATTTGAAGCCACACCGTAAAGTAAAATGAACATCAGCCTATAAGGAAAATGTCTGGATTTTAAACCCCGCTGCAATATCAATAGCTATTGAACATCATTAGTTTATCTGAACCTCAGTTTCTTGATCTATTAAATGGAAATTATAAACTCCTGTTATGCTTGTTTTAATGAGCCATTAGAATGGTCAATTCACTTACTATTTGTGAAGGGGTTGTGTACACCAAAGTGCTATGCAAATTTTCAGTGATATCTTAGCTATTTATCTGCATGTTGTATCCCCATGTAAGATAGTAAACATCTTTCTATTTATTTATTTATTTTTTTGAGATGGAATTTCACTCTTGTTGCCCAGGCTGGAGTGCAATGGTACAATCTCAGCTCACCGCAACCTCTGCCTCCTGGGTTCAAGCGATTCTCCTGCCTCAGCCTCCCAAGTAGCTGGGATTACTGGCCAGTGCCACCACACCCAGCTTATTTTGTATTTTTAGTATAGACACGGTTTCTCTATGTTGGTCAGGCTAGTCTCGAACTCCTGACCTCGTGATCCACCCACTTCGGCCTCCCAAAGTGCTGGGATTACAGGGATGAGCCACCGCGCCCAGCCATAAGATAGTAAACATCTTAAGCACAGTGCATCATGGATATTGAAAAGTCTCAGAGTATCCAGCAAGATGCTTCATACTTAGAATGTACCTCAGAGAACAGAATGTCCGGGTATTCAAGTTCAGATATCTTATGATTAAAATATATAACCATTATCCTTTTTCTTTCTTCTCTTTCTTTTCTTTCTTTCTTTCTCACTCTGTCGCCCAGCCTGGGCTCAAGCAATCCTCCGACCTCAGCCTCTCTAGTAGCTCGGACTCCAGGCGCACACTAACATGCCCAGCTATTTTTTCCATTTTTTGTAGAGATGGGTTTTTGCCTTGTTGCCCAGGCTGGTTTCAACCTCCTGAGCACAAGCAATCCACCTGCCTCGGCCTCCCAAAGTGCTGGGATTACAGGTGTGAGCCACTGTGCCCAACCTATATAACCATTATTAAACATAGGAATAATTATTCATCAGGTCTGTTATCTTTGGAAAATTAATTTATTTAACTTTGCATTGCTCATGTCAAAAATAATATTAGTGACTACTTCATTAGCCTTTTACATGACATGAAACAATGTTTGCAAACCAGTTAGCACACAGTACTAATGCATAACATTATACATAGATAATTTAAACAGTAAATAGTCGCTAAAAGAATTAACATTAACAATGTGTTAATGACATCAAAACATAGGATTTCCAAGGAAATCTGCCCTTTAACATAGAACAGGAAGTCTGACAAGACTATCTGAAAGTATCAAGTTTCAAATGACATGATCCTAGGAGGTGAGAGGAACATTTTTGAGCTTTTATGAAAAACACTTAGAATTTCCTAAGTCCAGCTGTTTTCATGAGGATTCTCATAGCATGACAAATTACCCTTTTCTTGCTCAAGACTGTCCCAGTCTCAGCACTAAAAGTGGGTCACGAATGTTCAAAAACTCTGTTCATATAAGAAACCTTTAGCCCAACAACTAATCATACTGTCTCTTCTGCTTTCTGCCACACATCTGGGAGTAAAAAGTTCCCAATCAATTCTTCCATTCTAAATCATATACTGGTTGTTGGAAGAACTAAATTTACATGGGAATGCCTCTGGCCTGGTAATAAATCGCACATGCTTTTTTGTTTGTTTGTTTTGCTGTCTACATTTCCTTTGCTAACCTTTGATATGGGAAATATTTGTAAAATGAGGATACCATTAAATATGCAACACCTTTTTAATATACTTTTCATTCCATAAACTTTTTTAAACATTCTGATTTCTCCATATCTTTTCTCTTTCTGGGCTTTGGTAGTTTTTGAGAGTGAAATATACTCCAGTTTTCCCCTCAAAGGTAAAAGGAAACTCTATCAGAAGAGGTTGATCTGAATTATTGATGTGTATTTTATCTCTATGTGTTCTGTGCCTCTCCGCCTGATTTTTTCAGTCACCTGTGAAGCATCTGCTATATGCTTGGCTCTCTGTTAGGTTGTAGGGAGTAGAGAGATGAATTAATAATGAAACTACACCAATGGAGTACCCAAAGGTAAACAAAATATAGAATAAATTGTTGGATATGTATCTGCTTGTGCAAGAAAAATAAAACAAAATGATTAAATGGAGATGAAGTTTGAACTTGAGTTGCAAAATGAATAACTGTCCTTCAATTAAAATAGATTTGAAGAGTATAAATGATTATTTCTAGTGAGAGATAACTAGATGGTGGCTATAGGACATTCTGATGGTTCAGACAAATGCAAGTGACTTAGGACAGATATAGCATAGGAGAAGAAGAAAGGTAAGACTCAACAAGAAATTGAGCTAGAAGTCTGGCAAGGGCAAACTTATGAAGACCCAAGACATGAAGAAACCCTTGCATGGTTTTTTGCCTTCATCTTTACTGTGCTTGTCTCCTCATTCTTTCATGGTGTCAAGACTTAATAGTTCAAGAGTGGAAACCGCAGAAGAAAGTGATGCATTCTCTCTGCTAACATCACTATTTATTAATGAGTAAGATACTCAGATAATAAGAGATTGAGAAAACTTCTGGCGCCTGAATTTATCAAGAGACTTTGACATGTTTTGGGGGCAGTTTTCCCCCACATTTTTTTACAATCTTATCTCCAACATGAAACTCATTTTAAAAAGTACACAAAGCGATACAAACAATCAAGAACATAGTTATTGATGCTACTTAGATTTCATAAGATTGTACTCAGCCAAGAAGGAAAAGAAGCTGTAATGGTACGGGACCTGG
The DNA here is from genome assembly GCF_000001405.40 of Homo sapiens. Classification (NCBI taxonomy): domain Eukaryota; kingdom Metazoa; phylum Chordata; class Mammalia; order Primates; family Hominidae; genus Homo; species Homo sapiens. The sequence goes on along the minus strand of NW_018654720.1, from coordinate 74,721 downwards.
ACTACAGCAAAAGAAAAGACTCTTTTGTTTTCTGAAGCAAATATAAAAATATTACCTCAGACACTGCATGTCAGGTCATCTGTATTTACTAAATTCTCACATGGTTTCATCCACTCTTTTTGTCTAGGCATCAGGAACAGTGGAAAACACATAATCACAGTACAACAAAATTAACACCTTTACAACATGATAATCTAATCTACAGATTTTATTAATTTCTCCATTTGTCTCAATAACGTCCTTTACTGAACAGGAAAATTCAGAATTATGCATTGCAGTCAGTTATCCTATTTTAATTTCTTTCAGTCTCACATACTTCCTGAATCTTTCTGGTTTTTTGTTTGTTTGTTTTTTGTTTTCTATCTTTGGCACTGACATTTTTGAAGAGTTCATAGCAGCTTTATACAATATCTCTCAATATGAATTTGGGTAATTTTATGTCATAATAATTTTCTAATTATGGTAACTGAAAAAAATGCTGAATAAGTGATGCTGTACATCATATTGGAAGGCACATGTCTTGATTTGTTTCATTACTGGTGATAATTTCTCAAGAAGTAATTCAGTAATTTAACATGATAACTTTGTAGTTGGGAGTTTAAGTGTCCCAGTTGAGACTAAACTAGAGTTAATTTGACTTGTGCTATATGCGCACATGAAAAGAGACAATTTATACAGATTTGTACTTGAACAAAAGGGATTTATAACTATAAAACAGTGCTATTTTGAATATTTCTTGAATAAATTCTAAATTTATCACAAATGATATTTGATAAAGAGAACACTGACTTTTGAATATTTAAATCCAATTAGTTTTACCATTAAAAGGCATTAGTTGGTCTACCTTCTTATGAAAACTTTTATCATAACACTTAACATACTTGAGCTAGGTTGTGTGCTCACTGGCAGAAGACAGCATACCTTATTCACTATTTGACTCAAGAGGTAGCTCATAGATTTTTTGAAATAAATGTTTTGGTAGAACTTAGTTACGCTTTTAAGAAGATAGTCTTAAATTGAAAATGTTCACTGCTGTGGTTTGAATGGGTCCTCCAAAGTTCATGTGTTGAAATTTAACCTTCAATGCATCAGTGTTGATAGGAGGGACCTTTAAGAGGTGATTGGGTCATGAGGACTCTGCCTTTATGAATCGATTAATATTGTTATCTCAGGAATGGGCTCCAGAGAGTGGACTTTTATAAAAGTGAGTTTGCCCCTCTCTTTCTTGTATGTAACTGTGCTTGCTCTCTTTACTTTAAACCTTCTGCTATGGGATGGTCCTCACCAGATGCAGCCTCTTAATCAATCATGGACTTCTCAGCCTCAAGAACTGTGAGCCAAATAAATTTCTGTTCATTATAAATTGTCCAGTTTGTGGTATTCTGTTATAGCAGCACAAAACAGACTAAGATATTCACTGATTCAGATTAAGCTTTCTCTATTTAGTTTAAACTAATGAGGTTTCATTGTGTTGCCTAATTCAATAAACAATTATTAACCACCATCTACATCAGTGCTTCTCAAAACATTTGTAATAAATACTGTGAACTGAAAAAGAAGAAATAATTTCTGACCTCAACAAATGTACAATTTTGTATGACTATAACTATCATGATTATTGAGTTATTGTCTCATTTGTAAACATTTCTTAGTGGAAATGTGTTTTTCAACACCAAACTTGCCATAGAGTAATTATTGAGTAAATGAGCTTTGTTGATAGAATAAGAAACCTAGTTTTAGGTCTTGTATTTGTGTCTTTCTAGAAGTGTCACTTTAAGCACTTCACATAAACTCAATAGTCTTCATTTCTTCATAAGCAGGGTTGTTGAGAGAACTAAAGTATATGAGATAATTTACCAAAATATAAGGTATATAATTTTAATTCAAAGTCAGCAAATGAAGTTAAATATATTATTTCATAATTATGCATACTTGCCAAATATAAGTTTAATATTTCAAGTTGGCTGTCTTTTACTTTATCGTGTTAATATGAATATTGGTCATCATTTTCATGAGTTATTCTTTTTACATGTTTGAGTTATTTTGCTTTATTTAATTTTTTATGTACGTTATATAATGTGCTGCAGTGATACTTATAGAAGGATAGGAAGGTAAGGATTATTTAGATTTTCACGTATTGTTACACCATATATGTTAAGAAATGTCTAACCATAGTTATTTAATAGACTTTTTTTTTGAGACCTTCTCACTGTCTCCCAGGCTAGAGTGTGGTGACACGATCCCATCTCACTGCAACCTCTGACTCCTGGTTTCAAATGATTCTCATGCCTCAGCCTCCCGAGTAGCTGAGATTACAAGCCTGCGCCACCACAGCCAACTAATTTTTGTAATTTTAGTAGAGATGGGGTTTCGCCATACTGGCCAGGCTGGTCTCAAATTCCTGGCATCAAGCAATCTGCCCGCCTTGGCCTCCCAAGCTGCTGAGATTAAAGGCGTGAGCCACCGCACCCACCCGGCTTAGTAGTCAAATTTTATTCTAGTACATAGTTGTTGTTGTTGTTTGTTTGTTTGTTTTTCCCTTTCAGAAGTAAAATTCAACCTTGGAAATTCTACATCATGTATGGAATCAGTAATAGTTTAGAATTTAAGATGCATTTTATTATCTTAATAATTTTGTAAATGGTTTTCAACCTGTCAAAATATTTTAAATTTATTACAGTTGACTATACTTCTATATATGTGGTCTACTTGTTCCTCAATTTTCAATACATGTAGATAATTTTAGATATGACTCAAAGATAATAAAAGTAACAAGTTGCAGACAGCAAAGTAGCATGCAGATTCTTAAAGCACATTTATTTTCTTGCATACATAGTACACTTTCAAAATTAAGAGCGTGATTTAGACACTGCTTAAATTTTAAATTTGGTGATTTTTACATATGCAATAATCTACAAGCATTTAGCTGTTTCAAATGTTGACATTGATGAAGCCAGGATCAGCTCTACTATGTCCACTAAAATTCTTTCTGTATCACAATTTTATGCACTTAGAAAAACAAATGAAGCTACCCGTTTTATTAATTAAATAATAAATATGAGTTGTCTACCATTACATTTTCTAATTATAGTGTTTTTCATGTCAAAATAAGTTTGAGAAATAGAATATTGTATAAAAATATCAAATATCTCTCATTTATATCATCGTTTTAAATTGATTTCAGTTAAAATTCCATTGGCAATTTTAGTAGCACTTGACAATAAAATTCTCAAAGTGATTTAAATAATAGACCAGCCTATGAAAGCAAAAGGTAATTTGAGAATAATGAAGAAAGAATTGTCCTACCACATACTTGAATATATTGTGAAGCTTCACCTAAACAGTTTCCTTTGTGAACATATGAACAAATGGAAATACTTTGGAAGAAACAAAATGTTTAGCTCATAGACAGACTTTGATATTCATAAGAATATACTGTAGGATAATGTGTTAACAAAATACATGTAAAACAATAAACTGTTCTAAAATTATGCTTAGATTACATGTGATATTAAAAAAGAGAACCCATAATTTATGTGTGTGTGGAATGTTTAATTTTTAAAGAGTATATTAACTACATATATTTGTGATGTTGTCAACAAATGCATTATTTATATCTACATTAATTATTTTATATATGTATTTAGTTGTCTTAATGAATCAGCCCATAATCAATCTAATTATCCTAGCTTAAAACCTAGTTGTTATCATTGAAATCCCCTTTTTTTCTAACTTCCAATAGCCAATATGTGACTAAGGTTTATTCTAAACATCCTTTAAATCTGCCTCATTGTTCCTATCTACCAAATTATCATATTCAAAATTTAATATCATTTTAAACCTGAATGGACTACTCATTTTAACAACCATATGTCCCAGATATTCAATATTCCCTTCCTACATTTTAGCCTAAATGAATTTTTTAGTTCAATGTCAACATTTTATTAAAATCCTTCAATTACTAGCAGAAATTGAGGGATTTTAATAAATCCTCACCACCAGTGGTCTTTTCACGTCCAATCTCATTAAAATGGCCTAAATTGCCCTGCTAAGTGGGCTCCTGCCTTCCTCTCTAGCAACATAACTTGTCTCACCCTCACACTCTGCAACAGTAGCATTTTTTTCAAATCCCCAAGGGTACCGTGCTCTGTGGCCCATCAAACAAATGCACATGCTCCTTCTTCTGCCCATAATTATCTCTGCCCTAATCTTTTTATTCAGAACTGAACTCAAAGTCACTTATTCAGAGAAACCATCCCTAACATGTGCTCATAAAACATCATACACTCTTCCATAGAAAAATTACCAGTTAGAATAGTTTGACTATTTAGTGACTAGTTGATTAATGTCTATCTGTCCCATTAGACTTTAAATCTTATGTACGTGTTATTGCTCAACTTTGCACCCCCATTGCTTGGCAGAGTGCACAGCATAGACTCAGTATGCAGTAAACAGTTATTGATTAAATATGTATGATTAAATAGTAAAATACATGCGTTTCAGTTTTGCAAAGTATTTCATTTTCAATTTTAAAGATATTGGACATCACCTAATTCACATCAATTTGCTGGCAACTTACCTTTACCAAAATCATCAAGGAAACACAGAGCCCATAGATTAAACTTCAGATCTTTCAGCCTGGTAGACATAAGTCTCTTAAAACACAGCTACCTTTTAAAAGCTGTCCTTTAAAACTTATTTCACACTTTAACTCTCTATAAACCTTCTGTTTTTGTCAATTTGATTTACTCTCAAAGGCATCTGACATTCTTATATTTCACTCACCATGTCTATAAAACCCTTCTTCCCTCTTTGCTTATTTAATTCTAACTATCATTTAAAACCAACTCAGGTATGCTAACTGCCCTCTACTGCACATATGTAAATATATAAAACTACAAATTTGCTATCTACTATCTTGCATACTTTCATATCTTTATGTGCATATATGTCTTTTACAATAAGATTTTAAAGTATCATATGAGAAAGGGTTATGATGAATTAAGTTTCCTAATAAGGATTTGCAAAATATAAATTGATTGATAGATGAAAATTATGGAATTGTGAAACACAACCTTGGTACAAATAAGGGTTCAGTGGTTCATGTGATGTCTTATTCCATGTAGTTCAAAAATGTTTCACGTTATCCAGTTAGAATTTCATAAAGTTGTATTTTTTATTAAGCATTCTTATGTAGAGAATGATCTGTTTAAAGCAGTAATTTTATTTAAAAGACTGATCTAGTGATAACATGGATTTATTCAATACTTCAACAAAAAAAAATCTGTTATGTTCTAGTCAAAGGATCATTGTTAATGATATAAAAGTTTGTGAAATGGAGAAGGTCTGGTTTTCTAAGAAATTTTGATTATTGTCCAGGCACAGTGGCTCGCTCCTATCATCCCAGCAGTTTTGGAGGCTGAGGTGGGAACATTGCTTCAGGACAGTCGTTCAAGACCTGCCTGTGTAACATAGCAAGACCTGTCTCTACAAAAAGTTTTTAAAATTGGCCTAACATGGTGGTGTGCGCCTGTGGTCCTAGCTACTCGAGAGGCAGAAGGATTGCTTGAACCCAGGAATTGGAGCCTGCAGTAGGTTTGATCACTGCACTCCAGTCTTGGTGGCAGAGTGAGACCCTGTCTCAAAAAGAAAAAAAAGGGGGGGAGGATGATTTCTAATTGTTGTTCTATAATGTCAATATCATGAGAAAAGTGTGTGCAGAAGCTTTCTGGTAAAGGCAGAATTTAGGTACTGACTGTAGCGATTTTACTCACAGAAGGCTCTGCAGAGTACTGGAATCAGATTTTCATGAGATTTGAAATGCAGATTTCTAGGGCCCATCCCAGACTTACTGATATCAGAGGCTCTATGTGGGTATAACAGACATGCATTAATTTAATATAGCTATACAACTTTTATCCTAAGAACTAAGCATATAGTATTTGGAAATAAGGTTTGGTTTCTACATTTGTGGAAAATCTGAGTAGAATGTCCCACAAAGTATTGGTGATAGGAGAAACTTCCAATTATTTTTGGATGTAGATAAAACCATTAAAACTAACAAGTTATTTAGCTTCTATGCAAATTTAATTTATTTTAATGAATATTTGCTTTCCTAGTTAACAACATTTGCTAATGATATATTTGCTGTCAATAGCTGTTTGTTGACCTGACATATTAAAGGCTTTATAATCTATTATTATTATTATAATTTTTACTTCAACCTTCATTTTAGATACAGGGAGTACATGTATAGATTTGTTACATGGGAATGTTGTATGATGCTGAGGTTTGGATTATGAATCCCATCATCCAAATAATGAGCATAGTACCCAATAGGTAGTTTTTTTAACTCACTCCCCCTCCACCCTCTAGTTGTCACTACTCTCTATTATTCCAATATTTATGTCCATGTGTATCCAATGTTTAGCTCCCACTCGTAAGTAAGGATATGTGGTATTTGGATTTCTCTTCCTTCATTAATTTGCTTAAGATTGTGGCCTCCAGCTCCATCCATGATGCTGCAAAGACATGATTTCATTCTGTATTATGGCTGCATAGTGTTCCATGGTGTACACATACCACATTTTCTTTATCCAGTCTATTATTGATGGGTACCTGGGTTGATTTCATGTCTTTGCTATTTTGAATAGTACAGCAATAAGCATGTGAGTGCATGTGTCTTTTTGGTAGAATGATTTATTTCCCATTGAGTATACACCCAGTAATAGGATTGCTCAGTTAAAAGGTAGCTCTGTTTTAAGTTATTTGTGAAATCTCCAGACTGCTTTCCAGTGGCAGGACCAATTTGCATTACTATAAACAGTGTGTAAGTATTCCCTTTACTCTGCAGCCTCACCAGCATCTCTTGTTTTTTACTTCTTAATAATAGCTGTTCTGACTGGTGTGAGATGGTATCTCATTGTAGTTTTGATTTACGTTTTTCTGATGATAGTGATGCTGAGCATTTTTTCATGCGTTTGTTGGCAGCTTGTATGTCTTCTTTTGCAAAATGTCTGTTCATGTCCTTTGCCCATTTTTTAATGAGGTTATTCTTTGCTTGTTGATTTAAGTCCCCTATAGATTCTGAGTATTAGGCCTTTGTCGAATGCCTAGTTTGCAAATATCTTCTCCCATTCAGTAAGTTGTCTGTTTGCTCTGTTGATAGTTTATTTTGCTATGCAGAAGCTCTTTAGTTTAATTAGGTCCCACTTGTCTATTTGTTTTTATTGCAATTGATTTTGTGAACTTAGCCAAAAATTATTTACCAAGGCCAGTGTCAAGAAGAGTATGTCTTTTGTTGTCTTCCAGGATTTTTATAGTTTCAGGTTTTAACATTTAAATCGTTAATCCATTTTGAGTTAATTTTTGTATATGGTGAAAGGTAGGGTCCAGCTTCAATCTTCTGCATATGGCTAGCCAGTTATCCCAGCACCATTTATTGCATAGAGATTCCTTTTCTTATTGCCTTTTTTTGTCAGCCTTGTCAAAGAATGGTTGTAGGTGTGTGGCTTTCTTTCTGAGTTTTTAAAATTCTGATCTGTTGGTCTATGTGTCTGTGTTTGGTAGCAGTACCAATCTGTTAGGATTGCTGTGGCTTTATAGTACAGTTTGAAGTCAAGTACTGTGATAGCTGAAGTTTTGTTCTTTTTCTTAGGATTGCTTTGGCTATTTGGGCTCTTTTTTGGTGACATGTGAATTTTGGAATCATTTTTTCTAATTCCGTGAATAATTATGTTGGTAGTTTGAAAGAAAGAGCATTGTATCTGTCAATTGCTTTGGGCAGCATGGCCATTTTTACAATAATGATTCTTCCAATCCATGAGCATGGAATGTTTTCCCATTTATTTGTCTTGACTCTGCCATCTGTTGTATTCAAGAAACTCATCTCACATGTAATGACACCCACAGGCTAAAAGTTAGAGTAGATTAAGATATACATGCATATAGAAAACACACAAAAAAGCAGGAGTTGGTAATGTTATATTAGATGAATCAGACTTCAAACCAGTAAAAATTAAGAAGGACAATGAAGAACATTGCTTGATGATAAAGGGTACAATTCAGTAAGAAGCCTTAAGTATCCTAAATATATATGCATCCAACATTGGAGCACCCAGATTTATAAAACAACTTCTTCTTGGCCTATAAAGACTTAGAAAACCACACAATAATTGTAGGAGACTTTAGCACTCCACTGACAGTGTTAAATAGATCATTGAGACAGAAAACTAACAAGGAAACTCTAGACTTCAACTTGACACTTGACCAATTAGACCTAAGAAACATCTACAAAACACACCACCCAATGACCACAGAATACTCATTCTTCTCATCTGCACACAGAACATATTCTAAGATTGATCACATGCTCGCTCATAAAGCAAGCATCAATACATTCAAAGCAAATTGAAATCATACCAAGTACACTCTTAGACCACGGTGCAATGAAAATAGAAATCAATACCTATTGATTTCTTAATACTACACAATATTCCCAATACTACACAAATCTCCCAATACTACACAAATACATGGAAATTAAACAGCTTGCTCCTAAATAACTGCTGAGCAAACATTGAAATTAAGGCAGAAATAAAAAAGTCTTTGAAATATATGAAAACAGGGGAAAAATCTCACCAAAATCTCTTGGATGCAGCAAAAGCAGTGTTAAGAGGAAAGTTTGTAGTCCTAACTGCCTTTGTCAAGACAGAAAGATCTCAAATTAGCAATGTAACTTTGTACCTAAAGGAACTAGAAAAAAAGAGCAAATAAACTCCAAAGCTAGCAGAAGAAAATAAATAACTAAAATTAGAAAAGAACTTAATGAAATTGAGACGTAAAAATCTATAAAAAGATCAACGTAACCAAGAATTGGTTTTTCAAATAAATAAATAAGATTGATATGCCTCCTAGCTATATGAACAAAGAGAAAGAAAGAGAAGACCCAAGTAAAGCCCGATCAGAAATGACAAAGGTGATATTATAACTGACCCCACAAATACATCCTCAGAACCCAAATATACTCAGAGATGACTGTGGACAACTATGCACATAAATTAGAATATCTAGAGGAAATGGGTAAATTCCTGGAAGCACACAATCTCCCAAGATTGAATGAGGAAGAGATTGAAACCCTGAATAGACCAGTATCAACTTCTGAAACTGAATCAGTAATAAAGAACCTGCTAACCATAACGAAAGCCCTGGTTCAGGTGAATTTACAGCCAAATTCTACCAGATGTATAAAAAGAAAAAAAATATACCAATTCTACTAAAATCATTCCAAAAAGTTGAGGAGGAGGGGCTCCTCTCTAATCCTTTCTATGAAGGCAGCATCAGCCTGATACTAAAATCTGGCAGAGACACAATGAAAAAAGAAAGCTACCGACTAAAATCCCTCATGAACATAGACACAAAAATCCTCAAAAAAAAAAAAGTAGCAAATTGAATCCAGCAGCACATCAAAATGTTAATACAGCATGATCAACTGGACTTTATTCCTGAGATGTGAGGCGGGTTCAACATAGGCAAATCAATAAATGTGATTCACTGCATAAAAAAATCAAACAATATAATCGTCTCAATACTCGGAAAATGATGTGATAAAATCCAGCATCCCATCATGATAAAAACTCTCTAGAAACTAGGCATCAAAGGAACATACCTCAAAATGATAACAGCTATGCATGACACACCCACGGACTACATCATACTGGATGAGTAAAAGCTCAAACCATTTCCCTTGAGAACTGGAAAAAGACAAGGATGCCTACTCTCACCACTTCTATTCTACATAGTACTGGAAGTCCTAGCCAGAGCAGTCAGGCAAGAAAAATAAATAAAATCCACCAAAATAGGAAAATAAGTCAAACTATCTCTCTTTGCTGAGGATATGATCCTATACCTAGAAAATCCTGTATTCTGCCTAAAGACTCCTAGAATTGATAAACAATTTTAGTTAAGCTTTAGGATACAAAATAGGGGTACAAAATTCAGTAACATTTCCACACACTAACACCGTCTAGGCTGAGAGTGAAATCAAGAAAAGAATCCCACTTACAATAGCCACAAAGCAGATCAGATATCTAGGAATATAGCTAACCAAGGAGGTATAATCTAATTATAACTTGTGAATAATTACAGTAAACTTTAGATATTTAATTTTCTCTAATGGTGTAACTTACATATGACCTTCATTGTTTTTATAAAATTCCCTAGTTTGAATTTTTCACATTATATGCAATAGTTTACAGTTCACCTAAATGGGAATAAAGCATTATAGACCTTCAGCATCTGGTTCTGTGTTGTTGATTCTTTTAAAATAAAGACATGAAATAAGAAGAAGAAATAAAGTTACAGTTTTTAAATTTTTGCTTATTTATTGTATTGAACATTTACATATTCCATACCTTTAACAATTATATTTCAATATTTTATGCCTAGTTTAGAGCAGCCAAATTCCAACCTTGATTTGCTTTATTTTAATAATGCATAATGGTTAAAAAATAATTAGTAAACATCTCTAAAAGGTAAAAAATGGTCAAAATTTGAATTTTATTCTGTAATGTTATATTTTTAGAGTTCTAGTAAGATTTAGGCTATGGATTTATGATATGTAGGACATAGACTACATTAATGTATTTGTATGAGAGTCTCCCTATGTGCTCTGGAAACTCACAGATGAGTATCATTATGATCCTTGCCTGCCCTCAAAGGGTTGTGATTTATTAGAAGGAGATATATATATGTAAAGTAATGATCCAACATCTAGCTAAATGTATCGTTTTCAATATAATTGGTATTATATTTTAAAACTTTCATTTGGGCAATATGATTTATTATTTTCAATCACTTTCAATCATTGCTGCTTCTTGAATAAAGTATATTTTTCAGTTGTTTAATATTCTTTATTACTGAATTGTATAAGTCATAGAGGGGTGATATGGTTGGCTCTGTGTCCTCACCCAAATCTCATCTGGAATTATAATCCCCACATGTCGGAGGAGGAGCCTGATGGGAAGTTATAGGATTATGGGGGCCGTTTCCCCCACGCTGTTCTCATGATAGTAAGTTCTCAGGATATCTGGTTGTTTAAAAGTGTGGCACGTCCTTCTTCGCCCACTCTCTCTCTCCTGCCACCATGTAAGATGTGTCTTTCTTTTCCTTCACCTTCCTCCATGATTGTAAGTTTCCTGAGGCCTCCAAAACCATGTGGAATTGTACATCAATTAAATCTCTTTTCTTTTTTTTTCTTTTCTTTATAAATAACCCAATCTCAGGTAGTTGTTGATAACAGTGTAAAAACTGACTAATAACAGGGGATTTATTATTTTTCTATGCTCTTTAAAATGATTTTTATCTACCTGCATAACAAGAACATGCATATTAAAAATGTGGTGAATAATAGGGTAATAATGACACATTTAATTTGCATTACATAATATGTTCTTTAAGCATTGCCTTTAATCTCATTTTGAATTATTTCACTTAAAGAAGTAATACTTTAAAGTTATTATGTTTTAAATTCCATATGGATGTAATTGATTATACTTTTAGATTCAGGATCGACCGATGGTCGTTATGCATTTACTTATAATTACAAAATGGAAAGTCCTAAGTTAAAAAGAGGAAAATGTAATCATCTACTTAGTTCATGAATGCACTTTCCGTTAAAAAAAATTATAAATGTATATATTAAAAATATTGCAATATGTGTAAACTGTTTTTTTTCATATTTTGCCTAAAGCAAAATGCCTTATATCATGATAGTACTTGCATTTCTGACATGATCTATACTTACCAATTTTGAAGTGGCTCTTTAGGGTGAGATTATACAGGTTAAGAAATATTTCTGCAGTATCCAGGGCCTAAATTATAGCAATCACACACACCAGGAGGGGGATGGGAATAAAGAGAAGGGAAATTGCCAAAATTGCCCATTAGCTTTATTTAAAAAAAATTAAGCTATTTTCTTCTGGAGAATTATCTTGCTCTTGTGGAAAAAATAAATTTTTGAGTTAAACTGACCAGGGCTGCATTTGCTTTCTAACATTTTTTAGATGCAAAGCCCTGAGCCAAGTTTTCTGAGCCATAATTTACTCAGTAGAAAAATGAAAAATGAACATAACAAAACCTTATAGAGTTTTTCTAAACAAATAGTGAAATGATATTTATGTTCCTTATACTCTGGAACCAAAACTATTCTCACATGTTTTTCTGTACTTTTAAAAAATGTAATCTTAGCTGGACGCGGTGGCTCACACCTGTATTCCCAGCACTTTGGGAGGCCAAGGTGGGCAGCTCACCTGAGATCGGGAGTTTGAGACCAGCCTGACCAACACAGAGAAACCCCATCTCTACTAAAAATACAAAATTAGCCAGGCGTGGTGGTGCATGCCTTAATACCAGCTACTCGGGAGGCTGAGGCAGGAGAATCGCTTGAACCTGGGACACGGAGGTTGCGGTGAGCCGAGATTGTGTCATTGCACTCCAGCCTGGACAACAAGAGCAGAACTCCGCCTCAAAGAAAAATAAAATGTAATCTCATCAGTTTCATAGCTATCATCCACATGTCAGTGACTCTCAGATTAATATGTTAACCTTCATATCTATTTAATTATAATTTTCAAAAAGATAAACACAATAATCTCTGGCAAATATGAAATGAACACATGCCAAAGATTCTGTTTAACTCATTAATTAATAGCAAGATATTGAAACTGACCCAAAGAGCATATGAGAAAATAACTGTATATATATGTGTGTTTATATATGTGTACATGTATGCATGTATTAATATAATATGCAATTTAATAAAGAAATTTTAAGATTTCCAGGTTGGAGACAAAACTGGTTAATATTTTACAGGGCAATATGCTGTAACTTTTTTTATTTCACTAGACTAAAATGATATTCATATTTACACAATAGCAACAGCAAATGTGTAAGTTAGCCTCCATCCCTACAGAGTTGGAAAATGGCCTAGTTAATAGAAAGTCAAGGCCAGCACTGGATTAAAAGAACACCAAGTGTCTCTTTTCCCCATTTCCAACTTTAGAATATTTTTTCTTACCTTTTTTTCACCATAATTTGTGTGTATATGTACATACACACATAAGTTTAGAGACATACACAAATACAAAATTATATAGAATATATAAATAATTGTTTTCACCTATTTGATATTTCCAGTTGGCAATCTAGCAGTGTCATCTGTTGTAACATTTCTGAAACACACAAATGCACTCCACCTGCTCCTTCATACCTTTGCATATCAGTAAATAATGCCACCATCTCTCCATGTACTGAAGCCCCAAATCTAAGATCATCTTTGATCCTTTAATTATTTATTTTCCTTTAAACCCACAGACTACCATAATCATGTCCTGTTTAGAGCACCTAAACCACATTACGAATGTATCTATTTTGTATTTTTTCTATTACTATGCCTTCTATTCCATGGTGCCATCATCTCTTACTCATATTACTGCTGCACCATAGCTTCCAAACTTCATTTCTTCCCATCCATTTTCCACACACATGTCTAAACCATCTAATGGCTATTCATTATACTTTGATACAAAATTATTTCCGTTGCCTACAAAGTTCTATGAACTGGCTCTGAACTAACTTGCGAAGTTCATCTTTTATGATTTCTGCTACATATTCACTGTACTACAGCCACATTGATATTTTTGGTTTCTAAATTCTCCTAGCTCTTCCCTACCTGAAAAATAGTTAATTCCCTCTTCCCGTAATTCTCACATCCAGGATCATCTTCTATTTGTACCTTTGTTTAAATATCAACTCTTAATAGAGGCCATCCCTGACCACTTAATTTAAATTATCACTCTCTCATTACTCTCTATCATGCCATCCCACTTTATTTTCTTCAGAACACACACATTTATAGCTTACTTTTTAATTTGTTGGTCTTATTTCCACCGTAATATGAGCTCCATGGACATAGCTGTCTTATCTGTCTGATTCGGCACAGTCTCCTCAGTATCTGGAACAGGATCAGGCACGTGGGAAGCTCTCAACACGTAATTGTAGATAAAATGAAAAATTGATACAGATGAAGTACTAGATATTGCTAAGCTCTGCATAAAAGTAAGGTTCTTGATGCAGAAAATGGTTGGTGTGCCAAAAACGAAATTCACTTATTTATCTTTTTTTTGATCTAGATGTGGCTAAAATTGCAATTAAAGTATAATGTGAGAACCAATAGGTCCATTTCCGTTGGGCAGATTCACTGTGCACAGGTTACCAACTGATCTCAGCCTGGTGAGAGAGAACATCCACACACAAAAGAAGTTACAAGAAGCAAGTTTATTTTTTACAGATAGGCAGTGAGGGACAACAGAAGCATAGGATTCACCAAGGCTCAAAAAAGCTGACCACAGTGAATGGTATTTTGCCTGCACTTGCCTGACTTACACCGGAGCTGAGGGACCCTGAAAGGCAGCCCACTCCCAATTATATACCTAAGGGACAATGCCTCACCGTCAGAGGCTACAGCATTAACGAACATCTCATTTCCAGGGTAGACTGAAACAAAGCCCGGGCTGTTCTGGCCAATTCCCCCTTACCTCAGGATGTTGAATTCCCAGCCTATTTCATACTTATTCTTGAGAACTATAAGCAAGAAATGGTGGGGGGAGAACTGGGTCAGTCCAAGGCCACCCAGAGAACTGCCTTCCACTTTCTCAAATACAATTCATGGTAATGAACTTTGGAATGTACTCAAAAAGTACTCAATACCAAGCAAGTTCTACTTTGTGATGGTAAATGTGTTTTGTCCCAATATGAATCCCTATAACTTTCCTTTTCTCTTTTCAGCGTCTTTTGATTGATAATGTTCTACATCCCTGAAATGTTTTTATCTATAACATCATAATCTATTTTTTGGTATAAAGTTAATTTTCAGAGAAAGAAAAAAATGCTCACAATAAGAATGGAGCATGGGGAGTGTATTAGTCTATTTTCACACTGCTGTAAAGAAATATCCAAACTGGGAAATTTACAAAGGAATGAGGTTTAATTGACTCACAGTTCCACATGGCTGAGGAGGCCTCAGGAAACTTACAATCATGGCAGAAGGCAAAGGGAGAAGCAAGCACTTTCTTCACAAGGCAGCAGGAAAGAGAAGTGAGAGCACAGGAAAAAGTGTTATTTATAAAACCATCAGATCTCATGAGAATTCACTCATTATCACAAGAACAGCATGGGGTAAACCTCCCTACAATCCAGTCACTTCCCTCCCTTGACACATGCAGGTTACAGGTCCCTACCTGGATGCATGGTGATTACAATGAGAGATAAGATTTGGGTGGGAACACACAGCCAAACCATATCATGGACCCATTTGATTATTTAACAATATTTTAGAGGTAACTGTTTTCGTAACTTATAACTGAACACATGAGATGGACTGTAAATTGAGTCTTCAAAGGATTCAATGCTATGTCTATTTTGGGGTTTTTAGGGTTATACTTTCATGATTTACCTCAAACAATTTATTAAATATTTTACTTTGTTGTGTATTTCTATTGTGTGCTGATATATTCATTTGAGGGTAGGTTTTTTCTCCTTAGTGGCCTAAATGTAAGTGCAGTCAAGAGATTTCCTCCAGGAGTAGGAGAATTAGAGGCCATGTACTTGTTGGGTTTACAGCTGTTTGAATTGAGAGAGGGCAACTCACTGCTTTATTCTTGTTTTTAGTGTGAGAGAGGCTGTGACCCTTTGGTACTCTCCACCACATCTACAGTCATTCAGGAACAAAGAATATTTGTTTCATAATCAGTGGTGCAGATTGGGATCTGTGAAGTGGAAAATGTAACAGTTTGTACTATCAGGATCAGGGTGTAATATTATTGGTAGGACTGAAAAGTGATCTGAACTGGATTGGAAGCATTATTAAAGCACAGATAGACCCACGGATGACTGAAAGGAAAAAAAACGCAAGAGAGGATACTTTGGAAGTCATTTCTATATTCTGACCCTTTTTTGTTTATTAAGGGAAAGACTTGGACTTTATCTTTGGGTTTGTGTGTTTCACAAAAATGCATATGTGTTAACAAGGACATTACTTGGCTAGAACTACATACTCTCATATTTCCTAATAGAACAGTACCTGGTATGTAATGGCCACTTGCTAAATCACTAAATACTTGTTGAATGCATGTCATGTGAATAAAAGATAGATTTCTCTATGAATAGAGTAGCCCTGTGTGATATACGATGGGAAAAGAGAAATCCATGTGAGGACATGGAAGCAGTGTGGGTGCTGTGGCTTGAATGTGCTCCCCAAAATTGAAATGTTGAAACTGAATCACCAGTACAATAGTATTAAGATGTGAGATCTTTAGAAGGTGATTAAGTCATGAGGGCAGAATCCTCAGGGATGGAATTATGGCCCTTATAGAAAGGCTAGAGGGAGTGCCTTTGCTTTCCTCCACTGTTCTGCTATGTGAGACACAGCATTTGCCCCTCTAGTGGACACACAACGAGGCACCATCTTGGAAGCAGAGGTCAGGTTCTCACCAGACACTGAACCTGCCAGCGCCTTGATCTTGGACTTCTAGCCTCCAGAATTGTGAGAAGTAAATTTCTGGTTTTATAAACTATTCAGTCTCAGATGTTTTGTTATAGCAGCACAAACAGACTAAGACAATAAGCTTACTTACCATGATAGGGTAAAGCCTGAGGAAAAATTACAGGGATTTGGAAGGAGCCCCATCTGTCAAGTGACACAGCGGGGATGGAGGTGTTAGAGTGAGAGTGGCAGCTCAGGAAGGCACTCTCAGGGAGTTCCAGCAACAAGTCGTTGTACCAACAGGATTGCTGAACTTGATAGATGTAAGCATGGTGTCAGGTGTGGGACCAGGAAGACAGACTGGATCACATAAGTTAGTATACCAAGCTGGGACATCTGGCCCACAGCCTTAAATTGTCATACAGGAATTTGAAGAAAACAAGGTTATAGAATAGCCTTAGTGATAGGAACAACGTTAAGGCTCTGCCTTAGGAGCCAGGGCATTAAAGCATAAACCAGGGCATAAGCCATGACTATGAGCCATGCTCAATTTTGAAAGAGCCACCTGGATTACTGAAATTGTTCAGTTAGTCAGAAAAGTAATTAAAACATGATATTTTTAAAGATTACAATTAGGTAACAAGATTTTATTTAAATAAAACATATGGATGTGTTCATTCACTTATTCTCTAATCTTTACACATAGTGTCCATTTTTTTTTTTCTTTTTGAGACAGAGTCTCGCTCTGTTGCCCAGGCTGGAGTGCAATGGTGCAAGCTCCGCCTCCGGGTTCACGCCGTTCTCCTGCCTCAGCCTCCCAAGTAGCTGGGACTACAGGTGCCTGCCAACATGCCCGGCTAATTTTTTTGTATTTTTAGTAGAGACGGGGTTTCACCGTGTTAGCCAGGATGGTCTTGATCTCCTGACGTCGTGATCCACCCGCCTCGGCCTACCAAAGTGCTGGGATTACAGTTGTGAGCCACCGCGCCCGGCCAGTGTCAACATTTTTTTTTTCCGCTGTGTGTTCTGGGGCACTGATTTCACTTCCATTTTGTAATTTCAGGCAGAAAAAGGTTAACTCAGCAGTCTTGGT
This sequence comes from Homo sapiens, assembly GCF_000001405.40. NCBI lineage: Eukaryota > Metazoa > Chordata > Mammalia > Primates > Hominidae > Homo > Homo sapiens. The sequence goes on along the minus strand of NW_018654720.1, from coordinate 57,088 downwards.
TGCTCACAAACTGCACATTCCAAAGAAGGGTCTGTCTTTGGTATTGGCTTTTGACTGAATCTTAGGAAATAATCTCTGAGAACTTGAAATATACTACTGATAAGAATATTTTTGTATACCTGGGGCCTTGGGACATGCTTTACCAGTCTGAGCAGTAAAGGTTATGCTAAGAATGTGATTTATGGTGAATGCCTGTTTTTGCTCTGAGGGAGGGGAGAGTCTGAGTAGCTGAGTTCAATTGCACTGGCATTGCATGCTTGCATTACTGACCCCCAATAAAAACCCTGGATGCCAAAGCTTGAGTGAGCTTCTCTGGTTAGCAGCACTTATCATGCATTGTTACACATCATTGCTGAAAGGATTACATACATCACCATGAGACTCCACTGGGAGAGGACCCCTGGGGTGACTTCTGTTGGTTTCTCTTGGACTTCCTTCCTTGCACCTTGCACCTTTTCCCTTTGTTGCTTTTAATCTCTATTTTCTCTGTGATAAACCATAAACCTAGGAGATTTCTGAATCCTGTGAGTTTTTCAAGCAAATTATTGAGCTTGAAGTTATCTTGAAGACCTCCAACACAATTTCCTGTATAAACCACCACATACTGCACCATCCACTATTTCCAGGTTTTGTTTCTTTGAAGAAGGAACTCTTAATAGAACTTGGAATCTGACTGCAGATTCTTTCCAAATTTTATAATTTTTGAATTAAAGGAAAAGTTCAGCTTGCAAAAAGCATGTATGCAAACTAACACAAGTGATTTTTGGTGGGCATAAGAGTACTAAAGGGAGTGGAAGTGCAGGGACAGTTATTGAGTAATAACTAAAACTTATTGAACGTGTATTATTTGCCAGGCAGTATTGTATGCCCTTATATGTTTCAACCCATTTAATACTCAGTTATGTCATTTAGATCAGGAGTCCCTAACCCCTGGTCCACGGACTGGTACCCTGGCCTGTTAGGAATGAGGCCACACAGACAGAGGTGAGTGGAGGGTGAATGAGCTTTACTGTCTGTTCATGTCTTGTAAGATCAGCGGGGGCGTTAGATTCTCACAGGAGCAAGAACACTATTGTGAACTGCTCATGAGAGGGATTTAGGTTGTGTACTTCTTATGAGAATCTAACTAATGCCTGATGATCTGAGGTGGAACAGTTTCATCCTGAAACCATCTTCCACCCATCCACCACCCAGTTCATGAAAACATTGTCTCCCATGAAACCGGTCCCTGGTGCCAAAAAGTTGGGGACCACTGACTTAGATGTCTGCACAAATACAGTGAAATGAATATCTAATAGTAAACTAGGATAATTCAAGAAAGAAATTTGAGTTTTTAATTTACCATTTTATCTACTTTTCCTAAAATACTCTCTTTAATTTATGAATGCCTTAAATTTTCTCTTTATTGAGAACCATGGTAGTTCTTCATAATGTTGTATTTGAAGATAAATTTTCATACTGATATTTCAAATAACTGTAAGTCATGTTTTGGATGACTATAATATGAGACCCCTGTTGAAGAATTATGTTCTAAGATATCAACCCACAAGGAGTATCTACTTTAGATAATTTCTTTACAGCTTTCTTTGTCAGTTAAGATTTTTAGTGAAAATTTAGATTTTGTGCTTTTTACTCTTTCATAGCTATGGCATGCTAAATGTTACTAGGCGCTGTATAAAATGTGAGAGAAGAGGGCAATATCCTGCCCTGAGATGCTTGGAATTTGTCTTAAGTGAACACTGTAAAAATGAACTCACCTCAAAAAGAAGTGACACAAGAAAACTTACTTTGGAATTAAACTTTTAAATGTAAACTTTGGTTACATAAGTTAAAATGAAGTACATATTTTTTCTATTTTGACTGATCTTGAAATGACATAGCCATGTCACATTTATCTCCTTTAATATTATAATTTTAAAATGAGGATTTAGAGGGAATAGCTTTTTTTGCAGATGGAAACCCAACTAAATATATGAATACCACTCATTTTAACATTAAATACAGGCATGTTGTTATTGAGGAGTATGAAAAAAATTTAAAAGTAAACATTTTTATGAAAAAATTTAAAAAATAAACAGTTTCTATATTAATGTAAAAGCTTTAAAATATTTCTCACATTGTATTTAGCATCAATAATTCATTCTTCAATTATTAACCTATAAGAAATTTTACATTCAACACCAGAAATAAGAACTTAAAATGTCATGTTTTGTAGACCCTCCCACTGATATATCATGTCAGGGCTAAACTTTTATTTTCTTTTCAATAATTGTTCATAAAATGAATAGGGGGGCACAGCAGTGCTTGAGGAGAGATATAAAAATCAAACATTAATTTTATTCAGATGAGATGATTTGTATGCAAGCTGATCAGGCTACAAGCTTATCTCATTACAAGCTCAAGGCTCTTAGAGTTTCATCATTCCTCAGATGCCATTAAGTTTAATAATATGACTGCCTGTATTGTGTATTAAAAATGTGTGTCTATTCTGCAATTCCATATAATGGTAAAGTGTTTATGAATATTTATTACTTTGTCTTTAGTGCTGTCTACTTTAGACTAAATAGCAAAGTTAATTGCCTATACTGCTCTAATTGCATTGTTTAGAGAATGTTCTCTCCTCTTTCTGTTCAGTTGCAAAGATATTGGTAGGATGCAGATTTTTTGAAGTGCAATAATTGGCATGAGAAAATTTGCACAGACATAGAATTGCACACCAAATTAAAACACAGTAGGTACATTTGGTCTCTGGCAAGGTCAATTAGCTCTATACCCTTCTCTCTGAGAATGCAAGTGGCCAATCAGGGTAATTTTAACAGATGCAGAGGCACAGTTTTGCATATACAATTTGTTTCAAGAAATTATGATAAGCACACAATGTTTTTTAACTGTTATTTTAAGTTCAGGGGTACAAGTGCAGGCTTGTTACACAGGTAAACCTGCATCATGGAGGCTTGTCGTACAGATTGTTTCATCACGCAGGTATTTCATTATGGTACTAGGCTTAATGATTCCTGGTTCTCTCCTTTCACTCTCTAAGGAGCACAAATTTTAAGTGACAGCAAAAAGAGTGTTTGCAAGAAGTCTTTTAAAAATGCGCCATTTAATTAGACATTCACTTTATTATTCTTTTCAAAATTAGTAGTTCTTTATGAAATGCTTCAATATAGATGTTGTAGTTTTTGTTAACATTATTTTGTTTTGGTTTTTCAAATTTTTCTCTCTTCTTCGTTTTACTCTCAATGGAAGCCAGTAAATATTTTGTTCTGAAATCAAGAGGCTTTAAATTTAGCCTTAGATTTGTCTCTCAAATATTGTCTTAGAGAGACCACTTTATATTTCTGTATGTGCTTCTATGCTGTCCAAATAATGGATCCCTTACCTATATATCATAATTTACAGTGTCTCCTCTATAAGTTACTAATATTAGTGTAAACATAAGTAATTATACTACTGATTTATTCCCTTAAATAGAAAAACTTTCACTCAATATGATTTCCATTTTTTCCTCCTCTCTAGTAATCCATCACACTATAGCAATTTGTCCAACTTTAAAGGAGAGCCAACTTTTCTTCTGTAAATATCTCCAATGCTCCACTCAAATTAGGATTATACTTCACCCAGACATGTTATTTAGGAGGAAAAACTATCCTAAGTAATATTTAAAAATGTACTGTTAAAACATTTAATAGGCCAGGCACGGTGGCTCACGCCTGTAATCCCAGCACTTTGGGAGGCCGAGGCGGGTGGATCACGAGGTCAGGAGATCCAGACCATCCTGGCTAACACGGTGAAACCCCGTCTCTACTAAAAATACAAAAAATTAGCTGGGCGTGGTGGCGGGTGCCTGTAGTCCCAGGTACTTGGGAGGCTGAAGCAGGAGAATGACGTGAACCCGGGAGGTGGAGCTTGCAGTGAGCTGAGATCGCGGCACTGCACTCCAGCCTGGGCGACAGAGCGAGACTACGTCTCAAAAAAAAAAAAATTTAATAAATTTCTGCTATCTTATTTCTTCTCTATACCCTCACCTCATCTAGTCTTAGAAAACTCAACCCACCTTTCTAAGACATATATGGGTCCAACACATGCATGCCCTTCTAGTTGAAAACAAATAAATAAAAATCATAAACACACACACCAGACACACACACACATTTCATAATGTAGGTGTTCCACATCTTTTTCTAGACATTCTAAAGACAAGAAAGAATCCATCCAATGTTGTTTAGATGGTCTGATAATTTAGTCTGTTTGTTGAGTGTTGTGCAGTAGAAATACTTCCAAACTTTACAGAGTTGGTGAAGTTTAATATATGTAGGACATTGCCAGGTGTGGAAAATGCAAGGATACAGGTAAATGGACATGAAAGTACATGTTATAATCTGGAAAAAAAAAAAAGGAGAGAATTAGAATGTATAAAGCAAGTACCAAATAAGGTCGATTGTTGTCCAATTGTAAAGGGTTTGAATCTCAATGATGGTAAACTTTACATTTTGCTGATTACTATTGAGAAGACACTAAATTTTTAATTAATAAATAAAATAATATTATAAAATTCATGGGAAGAGAAGCTTTCAAGAAATAGGAAAATCTCAAAAATATCCAGTGCTGCAGTGTCTAGAATGAAGACCTTGAAGAGGCCATTAGATCGGATAACTTCCCAGTTCTTAGAGAGATTTAAATAGAATAAGAGAACACGGAAAAGAAACCAGTAGATAACATTCTATTAAAAATACTTTTAAAATTAACTTCCAATTCTCAGTCCAGGGGAGTGAATGGAAGATGAAAAAGCAGGAGGACTAATGTAAAAAAGAAAAGAAGAAAACTGTATCTCATCTTCCTCAGAGAATGGTATGTGTATCTCTTAACTAATTGAATAAACAAATATGTGTTGAAGTGAAAACACGATGGGACATGTGGATTCCCTCAAGAATGCAAAAATGTTAATTTTACCTGTGATCTTAGCACAGAATAACCCGCCAGCCATAATTAGAATATACATGTAAGAAAATAAGTGGATTTTACCACTACTCCCTGGTAGGATAACTCTTAGACCTTGGTTTCAGGTCTTCGGATCATAGAAAACAAAGTAAGAAAATGTTTATTTTGCTATGTAAATATTGCTATGCTGTTGTAAATGTTGCTTTGCTGTTAAAATTTGATAATATTATTATGTTTCTGATCAAAAGGAATGTCTGCAACATATTTTTAGTGTTCCCCAAAAATGTCTTAGACTGTTTTCATTCATAGTTATAATATAATGTTTGATCTGCTAATTTTTTTGTATAAATACTTTTCATGTCGCATCTAGTAGTAAAAACCTGTTATGCAGACTGTGGCTGTAGCTGTGTTCCCCTAGGGTCTAATATTGGAAAAGATTTCTTTGTTATAGTGAAGGATACTTGGAGAAACTCTATTTTTGCCTGAGCAAAATCTTTCTGTTCTTTCTTTTTATAATCCTAAAATAATTTTCATTCTTTTTTACATCAGTATTTTCAGAAGTGATCAAATTAAATAGGTAAGGTAAATAAATGACTACCAAATTAGCACAAATCCCACCTCACTAACTTTTCTGTGATTATTAGATAAGCCCAAATATAAACATATTTAATTTCCTGACATGAGAATCCATAACAAAACACAGTATCTACAGAAGGCACCTTCGGAACACCTGATTATCTCAGGCACATGGATGTTTTCACAACATAAAAATATAATTAGGTCTAGCTTTGGCCAAATTCAGGAGAAAGGTTTGAGAATCTGCTACTTGGTAATTAACGTCTAATTGTTGGTAATTATGTTGCTTAGTTTTGTGCACAACCCAATTTATTTTTCTTGCACAAGGGCCCATACCAATTATACTCTGGCCACAACTGTTAAGGCTATCAACAAATTAAGTACTGATTGCCAGAACTGCATGAAAATGGTCTCCTACCAATTTGCATAAAGGAGGCTCCTAAGCCAAAAAAAAAGAAAGTCTGTGTTAATGTTGGATCTCCCATTTCATTTCTAATTATCTACTAATGGTTAGTCAGGCCAGAATTTATCTCAGAAGCTAGAGGTGGATAGCGATATAAGTTTTAGAGATCTATTTCTTATTATGCTTAAAATATTTAGACACCATTTAAAAGTTGTATACCCTGACAGAAAAGTTGGCAAGGTTTTGCATTTAAACAGCTTTTTGTTTCTGCAGTTGCTTTTGATTTACTTTAGTGCAGCAGAGTTGAGTCTTTAATATTTTTTTTGTTTTGTTTTGTTTTCCTGCAAAATAACCACTTGGTGCAAGCTGAAGCAAAATGTGAAATGAAGAGCATGCATTGAAAATGTTTACTCCCTTATTGATAAAATATTTCTTCTCATAAAAGACCCCCTAAAAATTGAAAATAATTTAAAATCTCCAAGGACTGGTTTTATAGTATAACTTATGAGTATTTTTTAAGATTCTTCTTGCAGTGACTACTTAAATAACTTTGAACATAAAAATTAAAACATAAAGTCTCTTGTAAAACCTTACTATAATGATAATTATGCTACTTTAGCCTATAACGTACAATAAAGATATGTACTGAAAATATGTTACACATTACAGTTGTGATGTATAATACTGAGATCCTGATAAAATGAATCTGCAGAGTGAAAGTATTTGGGGTTGTAATTCATGGAAACAATAGCTTTTAGTGTTCTGCACTATATTAAAAGAATGACAATGTTGTGATGAAATGTAATGTATAAACCCCTTGGTCACACATACCAATTCTTTTCTGACCTGAAGAATAATGTGTCTCTATTTTAATAATAGTGTCATGATTCTTAGCATCCTATATTAAGTAGAGATAAGACCTGTACTCGAGGGTATAACTAGCAATGTAGTTTCAATTAGGAGAATCTATCAGCGTTTTCACTGCATATAGCTTTCCTGGTAAAAAGAAATATTTTACTTACTAAAATAAAGAATATTTATTAACATGGCCTACAGTGACTGCATATTAAAGCTGAAATAAAAAATATTAATTTTAAGGCTTGATATGGGACCAGGATATATAAACGAACTATATGTAGGCTTATGTAAAAAACGTAAAGTACATGAAAGGTCTTTTCTGTCCTCTCTGTTTAAATTTGTCCGAGTGGTCTCTCCTGGATGCCCAGCCACCTAGTGGCTCCCTCTTCAGCAAACCACGTACTTGTGCGCATCATCCCTATGACTGGAATTTATTTAACACATATTATGTGCTAGGCACTGTGCTAGGGGCTGACATCACAAAGGATAAATCAACATTATTCCCATCTTGGAAAAGAATGCCATAAAAGTGAGGCACCTAAATCACTTACTAGCCTATGTTCTTTTTATTTCTCTACCCTCAACATGTTAGTTTCTATTGCCTTCATGTGCTGGGTTCAACAATATCTACAACCTGCTAAAATAGTATGTTTAGTATTCAGGGTTTCTGATTAAAAACACTTTTTATTTCTTTCTTTTCTTCTTACTTCTAATTTCTGCCACTCAAGTTTTCAAGTATCTGTGTTTTATCGGAATATCCTGCATTGGTTTTTCGGTTCTTCTCTTTAACATACTAAGGCTGATTAAGTAAGCCAAAATAAAAATCTCATAACAGCAAAGAACCTTAAGTACCTGAAGTCTTGTTTTTCAGGTGAGAAAGGGTAAACTTTTCCCAAAAATACCCTAAGCGTAAATTTTTCCTTTATTTCCAATGAGTTAGTCTTTCTTTCTCCCATAACAAGCTATCTACACCTCTATTACATTGTCATAGACTGTTGTTTATGAGTTTCCCTCTTTTTCTGCATGACAATCTCCTCTAAAGCAGAAAGCCAGACATACTTCTGGGTAGCAATAAATTAAATGTAAATTGGTTTTGTCCAGGGAAAATTTCACCCTTAAGCCATGCTGTGAAAGCAGGTGTGTGCTTTTTATGATAGATCTGTATCTCATTGGAGATGATTCTGAAACTAAGACAACTTATGAGTTGCTGTGTCATCTGGCTTCACTATGTAGAAATTTGGAGGATCCCAGGTAAATATTGGGCCCCCTCAGGCATGGGATTCACTGCTATATAAAAATACCATAAACTGGGTGGCTTAACCAACACAAATTTCTTTCTTACAGTTCTGGAGGCTGAAAGGCCATGATTAAGGTGCCAACAAATTTAGTTTCTGGTAAGGGTTCTGTTTCTGGCTCATAGACAATCGCTGTTTGGCAGTGTTCTTACACAGCTTTCATTTGTGGGATTTTGAAGACAATAAGTGGGTTCTCTGGAGCCTCTTCTTATAAGGGGACATTAATCCTTTTGAATGAGGTCCCCACATTTCTGACCTCATTTAACTTAATTACCTCCTTATAAGATCTATCGCCAAATACAGTTGCATTGGTGGTTAGAGCTTCAACATATGAATTTTGAGAGGGACACAACTGAATCCACAGTAATATATTTTGGTTATAAACAAGAAAAGCCCAACTGAAGCCTCGACAACCCCCAACCCTCCACAAAAAAAACAAAAAAAAAAAAGAATGGACCACAATGCCTCTCTCCATCCCTACCTATGTAGTTATTGTAACCACCAATATCTAAATATGTAATATAAATATATAAACAATCCCCTACTATATATTCAGCTATTCAGCTGTAAAGGATTAGATTTTGCACAGAACTACAGCTATGAAAATGAGAGAAAGCAGGATTGGTATATACTGAGACATTTCCTAGTAGCTGATTGCTGAGATTACAGATAATAGATTCTGATGTAAAATACCTCATTTGATCATAGCTAAGTTTGACAGGAAAATGAGCAACCCAGAGATCAGAGTTCTTACCTCACTTTAATTACATGAAAATAAACATGGGTACACTGACCTCTTCACAAGGGAGAAAATGGAATTGACAGCTGAGAACCTAGGCAGGAAGCTCCATCTTTAACCTGCACATGTGTGCTATATTGGCTTGATTTTCATCTCTCTGTGTGTGGCCTCACTTTCTCTCTTCACATCCACATGACCACCTTCCTGTTTACATCACCTAAATTCTGGGCATAAACCATAGATCAAATTAGCTAAACCTGAATTTCAATGCTCAGTTTTCAAGAGAGAATCAGACTTGCTTAACTGAAGTCAGAGGTTTGTCCTTAGTAGGACTGACTAAAGCCAGGGGAGTCAGTAATAAAGTTGATGAGGCTTCCTTAGAATTACTGTTTCCTCATATTAGTGTTGTTTGGATCCTAACATAAGACCACTCCCCTGTAAGAAAAGGACAGTAACTCTCCTAATAAAGGTAGAAAATGCTGACATCAAGCTTACACTGGCATGAAGTGAAAGGCTTCCTTTTGTCGGGTCTCTTCTTGGCCTATAAGGTTAGAGATATTTCCAGTCGCTGAAGCCACCAGAAATAGTCTTAGCGGGTATGAATTGCACTTGAATTGTATAATCTACATGAGTTAAATTATAAGCTTTTAGTTATGATATACTCACTTCCTCTGAAACTTAAAAAGCTTTTTTTTCTTTATGACTAAAAAGCTAAACTTGAACATTAGGTATAGCTGGTAATTGGTTAATAGCATTTTATATTTCAGCTCTGAAAAATAGGGGCCATTCCAAGAAAAGATTACAAAACCCTTTCTGTACAGCTAATAGAAAGTGTTCAGTTTAAAGCTGGCCCATACAATAGTAAGGTATATTGTCATTCATAGCTGATGACAGCCATGATCCTTACTGTTTTATGCCTAGACACATGAAAAGATTTATGTGATAAAAGGCTTATAATCAGTTTAAAATCAAGCAGTTCTTCACTCAAATTTTCCAGTGTTTAACTTTGTATTTCATTTTCATCTAAGTTATTTTGAAAAAATGAATTTGAGCAGCTATTTATTTATATTTCAACTTAAATTGAATTCACTTTATTTTATTGATAATTCCTTGAGAAACTTGTCTCTGTTAAACTTGTGTCCTTCTAAGAATTGTATCCTTTGTAAAAATTTATCTACTCTGTGTGTTAACTTTTTCTGTCTACAAATAACCACCAAATCTCAGAGGCATTCAAAAAGAAGTATTTATCTCTGAATTTGTTGATCAGATGGTATTTGGCTTATCTACACTTGTCTATGTGACACTTATTTTTCAGAGACCAGCAAGCTAGCTCAACCATGTTCCTCTCTCATGGTGCCAGTGGAAGGAAATAAGGCACACCTAAAAGAATGAGCACATTTCACCTTTCTGATTTCATGACACTCTGCACATTTCATTGGTCAAAGAAGATCATGGCATCAATGGCAGGGAAAAGCATACCACTCACTTGGAAGTTGGGGGTATTCAAAGTAAAACAATAACATAACTATGGGTTGAATAAAAATGTATCTCTTCTAGAATGAAAATTAATATAAACTATACTGTGTATGTGTTGAGGAGATTAGTCATTCTCATTCAGCATGTATAATGAACATTGACTATTTGTCAAGTACATTCTAGTTGCTCTAAATAAATTTGTGAACAACACAGAACAAGAAACTATGATTGAACCTATTGAACGTGAAGGTTGGTAGGGGGCACATATTATTTTATTTTATTTTATTTTTATTATACTTTAAGTTCTCTGGGACATGTGCAGAAAATGCAGGTTACATAGGTATACATGTACCATGGTGGTTTGCTGCACCCATCAACCCGTCATCTACATTAGGTATTTCTCCTAATGCTATCCCTCCTCTAACCTCCCACCCCCCGACAGGCCCCGGTGTGTGATGTTCTCCTCCCTGTGTCCACATGTTCCCATTGTTCAATTCTCACTTATAGGAGATAATGTGGTGAGAACATGCGGTGTTTGGTTTTCTGTTCCTTTGTTGGTTTGCTGAGAATGATGGTTTCCAGCTTCATTCATGTCCCTGCAAAGGACATAGGGGCACATTTTAAACCACAATTGTTTCTTCATTATTTTTGAGATAAATGTTATATTTAGAAAATGTGTAATTACAGCAATATGAGGGGAGTTAATCAATTCTGAAGAGTCCAGAAAAGCTTCCTTGCTGTAATGACATTTAATATATGACTAAAGGAGAAAAGTTAATCAGAGGAACAGGTAGAATTAAAGAGTTCCAGGAAGAAGTTTATCATATGAAGGCCTTGGGGCAGAAAAAAGAAATTTAAGGCCAGTATAGACATAGAAGGCAAGAAGAATGATATAAAATACTAAATGAGGGAGAGGTCAGGGCAAAAAGAATCCTTCAACAATGTTAAACTTTTAGAATTTATTTTAGGATCATTGAGAAACCATTAAAGGCTTTTAGGCAAGGTTTGGGTGACTTAATCAGATTTGTATTTGTAAAAGGTCATAGTAACTGCTGGATGAGGAATGGATGACTCTTAATGCAAATGCAGAGCAGCTAAAATTCTCATGCACTGCAGGTAGGATTATGAATATAAAGTTGATACAAATGCTGTGGAAAATTATTTGGCATTGTCTAGTAAAGCTTAAGTCATATCCTCAAAGAACCGTTTTTTTTCTATTCTTATTTAAAGAAACTCTTATATTTGTATATCAGAAAGCATATATATACATTTTCATTGAAATGCCTTTTTATAATTGTAAATTAATTAATGATTCATGTTAGTTATTAAGTTAATCTTTAGAAATTGAAAAACTCCCAAATACCCATCAACATTGGAATGGGTAAATAAGTTATATTTTACTTATATAATGAAATATTATACATCCGTGAAAATTTTAAAAAAAGATTCATATAACATATATGAAGATAAGGAACATAATTTTGAGTGAAAAAAGTTGTCATAGAAGAATATATACAGTATTATTTTATAGTTAAGTCTTTTAAACATATAGGAAAAATAAACAATATATTTTAGGGATACAGACATAAATGATAAAATTTTAAGGAAATCAAGGGAATGACTGATGAAACTAAAAGTCACAAAAATGGTCATGCCTGAGGAAAGAGAGAAGCACCCAGGGGGTTTCTTAAACTGCTGGATAAATTAGTCATTTGGCATGTTAGTCTTATCTTTTATAGCCTTTAATGATTTTTATAATTTCTAAATACTTAATAAAACACTGTAAAACACATCATAGAAGGATAAGATTAGATGCAAAGAAAATATTTTGAAAATTATCAGAAAAATTCAGTAGAAATATAGTTAATTACTCTAGGGTGAGGCAAACAAGATGGAGGGAAGTCATGAGGACCCAGGAAGATGATGTTGGGAGAGACTCTGAAGGACACAGCATTTTCCATTGTGGCCTTTCACACGTGATCTTCCAGCTGTTCCTCCCCACATCCTCTTGCACAGGATATTATTGTCTAACTGTTCCTCTCCACCCCTCTTGATACAAGGCAGGCTGTCTGTGGCTGCTAATTTATAAGGAAAGTTCCTCTCTTCCTGACACTAGTCCAAAAGAACTTTCTACCTTCCTCCTCCAAGTCTGAATGCCCGCTTAAGCCAGCAGTTCTCTTGTTAATTTTCCTCCATAGTGTGAGTACCTAATATAGAGATGATTTGTATTTTATATATATATGGATATATATGGAAATATATATATGGAAATATATATGATATATATGGAAATATATATATGATATATCTATGGAAATATATATATGATATATCTATGGAAATATATATATGGAAATATATATATGATATATCTATGGAAATATATACATGATATATCTATGGAAATATATACATGATATATCTATGGAAATATATACATGATATATATATGGAAATATATATATGGATATATATGGAAATATATATATATGTTATATACAATGTTTGTTGAGCTAGATCATTGAGATACATTGAGTTTGAGTTGCCTGATATCCAAGTGGGAATCCTGAGGAGGCAGTTAGGTATATTGTCTAACCCTGAGAAGAAAAGTCTAGGGTAGTGAAAAAAAAAAAATGATTGTAACATTAGTCATAGGTATGGGCAAAATTGCCTAAGGAGGGGGTATAGAGTGCAATGAGAAATGAGTCTGAGTTTGAGTGCTGAGGAACTCAGGAATTTGTATGTTGGATGAAGAAGGAAAAGCTGGTAGCGGAAAGCAAGGAAGAGGAGCCAAGCAGGATAAAGGAAACAGGATAGAGTGGAGTATTTAATCATGTCTTCAGAAGCAGGCCTTTCAGAACGTGATTCACATTCTGGTGATTTATTAGAAAAGTATTTCTGGAGAAACTGGTAAGGGAGTAGGGAAGAGGAAGAAACCATGTAAGTGTGTGATTATTGGGAAAATCCCAACTGTAGCCTGCTTCCTTAGGCAAGACCTGAAGGGTAAAATGCTCCTCAGAATTTTTCCCAACTCCATGCAAATGAGCTGAACTTTTATACTCTCATAGGGTATTTGCCGAAGTCAGCTCCATGTGGTTATTGGCTCCCACGTACTGTCTGTTCTCTGCAAAAGGGTCACAGTTGTCTGTATGCAGTCCTTAAAATTTAACTGCAAATGCAGGAAGTTAGAAGCAAGTTTCATAGGAGGGGAGTATAGGTATGCAGATATGATAAAAGTAATCGGAAGGAATCTGGCCATAGCACCTACAAATGTCTGCAAAATATGGCATCACAGAATCCAAAGAGAGTTCCTAGACATGGTCGATTTTGTTAAATACTTTTCTTGAGCGTATAAGGTGAGTAAAGAACTGATAAGAATTTATTAGATTTAATCAAAGGGCTTGTTTAAACTTAGGACTGATTATATAAGAAGTAATGTTTTATAAGGAGCTTGGACTTTAGGCAATAACAGTCACTGAATGGTTTTAAGAAGGAGCCTGACAAAGTCATATATACAATTATCTCAGTAAGGTCAGTAGAAGGACAGATGAGGATATTTAATTGAAGCCTAGGAAAATATATGGGAAGCTGTTGCAAAAGTGCAAGTAATCAATGATAAAGGATGAGGGTAGTCAGAATGAACAGAAGCAGCTTTTTTATTTATGAAATATTTAAGATGCAAAATAAATTGAGTCTTATGTTTCCATGAGGAAAAAGTAGTCAAGAATGGCTGTAGGTTTCTATATGTGGTTACAGAGTTAAGAAAGGAATATGAATGGGATGCTGAAAATAATTCATTTCGACTTGGAAAGAATGTATATAAGGTGACTCTGGGACATTCTGGTATCCTGACAGACACTAAACAGTTGAAGTCTGAAGTCTGTAATGGAGCTCAGGACACCAGATAGGATTTCGCATATAATAATCTTATCATATTTTTATAGTCAAAAATATGAGTGAGCCAGGCGCGCGGCTCATGCCTGTAATCCCAGCACTTTGGGAGGCCGATGTGGGCGGATCACAAGGTTAGGAGTTCGAGACCAGCCTGGCCAACATGGTGAAACCTCGTCTCTACTAAAAATACAAAAATTAGCCAGGCGTGGTAGTGTGTGCCTGTAATTCCAGCTACTTGGGAGGCTGAGGCAGGAAATCACTTGAACCTGGGAGGCGGAGGTTGCAGTGAGCTGAGATCACGCTATTGCATGCCGGACCGGATGACAAGAGCAAAACTCCATCTCAAAAAAAGAAAAAACAAAAACAAAAAAACAAAGATATGAGTGGATAAGAGAATGTAGGAAATGTTTGCAGGGTAGGAAAAGAAATAACTGATGGGATCTTGAGTAATATAACACTTAAAGAATAACGAAACCCTATCAGATGTTAATTGACCAACTCTTTCACATTGCATAACGTCTTCGTGATGTAACTGCTTGTCTAATCTTATTGTCATTCCTATTCAAAGGACACACTTATAGATGCCCTTCCTAACCACTCTATCTAAAATATTTGTCCTCCACGTCACCACCCCCACCTCCATTATTCTCCATCTCCATGCTTTCTTTTTTCTTCATAGCACATGCAACTAGCTGGCATTTTATTATATATTCATGGGTATATTTATCTTGTATATTTCCAGTAGAATGTGAGCTACATAAAGACAGAGTTTTATTTTGTTTCATTTTGTTTTTCCCACCAAATAGAGCCCCTGTTTTTAGAACACTTCTTAGAACATAAAAGACTCAATAATTCTTAATTGAATTAATGGATGACTGATCTATCTAACAGACTAATAGAGTGATTATTTTATGGATATATTTATTGATGTTTTAAACAATAATGTTTGCAAAATCAAATTCCCTTTATGTATTACTAATCTATGAGAAAATGAAGCAAAACTAATTCTCCAGTAATAATATAAATTCTTGAGTTGTTCTGAAGAAACCAAAACTACAGTTTTAGTCCAAATGAACAAAATTATTTTCTTCTCTTATCTTTCCATGTTTAAACTGTATCCCTAAGCCAAGCGAGTCACAATGAATTAATCAGTAGTTAACTTGTATCCAGATTTCACATGCATCGTAATTTAGCAATAATGTGTTTGGAATTAGAGGTTATTGATCACCTTAATCTGAAAAACATATTTTATCCTGCAGTTATAAGTTGTTACACTTCTATACAACATTAAGATGCTGCTAAATCAAAGATGATGCTGACATTCTCTAAGGGACAGATTCTAATCAGTGTCACAGGAAAGCATGTAGTTTAGGACACTATGTAAATGGTCACTATAATTTTGTGTTTGTTGCGGAAAAAGAAAATAAATAGGCCTGAGAGATATCCAGAAGGCAGGTATAGTTCATAACTATCCTTTTATCTTCCCAGCGTTTATCTTGTCTGCCCCCCCTTACTTTTTTAAGTAATACAACCTCAATATTTGCTTGCGTAATTACACCATCCAGCCTTTGCCTGAAACCTTACAAATAAGATCACGCACATACTCTCCCCTGATAGTCATATGGCTGTCTGTCTTTGGAATTTGAAATTTGAACTGAAAAACGTTTAAAACAAAAATGTTGGGAGGTGATTTTTACTAATGGCATTACCCTCATGAGACTGTCCATTAGTTCCTCCTACCATACTTCTAGAAACGTCTTTGATCCTGTCCTCCTTGATCTTCAGACTTTCCTAGGATTTCAAAAGCTACTCTATATCCTTCTAATAAACTCATGTTTTATATAAACCCTGAGTTGGTTTTCATTGCTTACAGTCAAAGAACACCAACAAATCCAGATGCTCTATTTATGATTCTTTTAACTACCCACAAATTGAGCAATATATATGTGATATGGTATGATAAAAGAAATAAAACAGGTATAGTTCAATGGCATTTCATAAGACGCTTACTTTCTGGATTTGGGGGTTGTGTGTGTTCCTGAAAAATATTCATTTAAACAAAGGTATCCTATAGATTTGTTCCTGGTGATTTGAAATACCATGAATAATACCTCATATGTAAGAAAAGTTTCTTTTTCTAAGTTCAGCTGAAATATCTTATTGTAGGCAAGCCTGTTATTAAATCTTCACATTTGACAAACGACTTTCTCTTAGCCATTCTGTCCCTCTCCACTGTTCATCATCCCAGCCTTAGAGATCGGCACTCTTCTTTGAATGCATTAGTCACTCATGAATAATGACATAAAAGCTTAGCAGTGCTCCAGAAAGAGAGGCTTTTATTATGCTTTTCTAACAACCATTAATATCTATAACACTCAGCAGTTTTCTAATTTTCTTTTATAAAAGGACAAGCTGTAACTACATGACAAAACGGCATGGGGTTCAGGACTATTACTGGTTTCATTAGTGAGGGTGACAAAGGAAAAAAAATAGAAAAATGGGTTATGCTGCTATCAGGCACAAGAAACCCATGATTAAATTAAAAACTGGTGGATGAAGGGTGGTCCTTAAATTTATAAACCCTACTTACAACAAAAACCACACCATATCAAAAAAATATTTCTTTTTCCAAACAAACCTTTTTATAATGGGTTTGGGGTGGGAGATTCTGCAAGAAACAAGAACTTGAAATCTATATTAGCTAAAATTTTGAAGTGAATATAGATAGTAAGAAATGTATATAGTCCTATAATATTCTTGACAAAGTTATGTCCAAGCAAAAATGAGGACTAAAAATTACTGGTTAATCAAATAAAATATTACATTTTGGAACTTGTGGATCCTGTTTGTGAATTATTTAGACAAGACTATTAGAAAACATTATTTGAGTCTAACTAAGTGGCTATCATAACTGAAAACAAAAATGGTCACGATTTATGAGTAACATAGAATTGTAAAACACATAACTAGAAATAATGTGATTAATTATATGCTGTTTTTTCTTCTTGAATTCAAGAAAAATAAAAAATGCAAACGTAGCATTTGAACTTTTTAGTATTTTTAGTTATTGTTATAGTGACGTAAAATTAGGAATAAAATCTCCTAAGTTTGAAATAAAACCTAAATTTAGCAACTAAATTGCATATTTCTAAGTTCTCCATGGAATGAGATGATTACTTTGTTTTTGTTTCATCTTGTTTTTCCCTAATTGAATATGTGTCATCCAAAAGGTCTATTGCAAAGTCATGAATAAATTCTTACAGATATTTTTACCAAAATTTTAACACTTTTACTTAACTGAATGCTTATTAAAGGAGATTTATTAAGCATCAAACTGTTTTTCATTGTAAATTGCAGCTCCTTGGATCTTTACATATAAGGATTTTGAATCCATTTATTAGAAAAGAAGTTACCACAGGTAATAACCTGCATTATAATAAGTGTAGGAAGTTAGTGCAATAAATACTGACTTAATTCTGTTATTAATCCAGTGAAGTAACCCTGATTGTATTTAGAGCTTTTAAGGAATCTTCATAAAAGATAAGCTGTCCATCTTTTATTGTACATTTTAAATTAGAGAAAATTATCAAACTGATCTTAAATTTGCAGTGCTTTATCAAAAAACTCATTTACTCTAAAATGCTTCCAAAAGCTTATAAGGCAAGACAAGTAACAAAGTCGTCATTTACAAATAAGGATACTGACATTTAAGAAGTGAAGTGCTTTTGATGGGTGGCAGGCTACTGCAATGCTTAAGTATTTGTTTCCCACTCTCTACGCTCTAAACCTTCCCAGATACAATTAAAGAGCAATCTAATCAAATATAAATGAGCAAATTACTTAACATGTGCTTTCTAAGTACATTTTATCTGCTTATTTTTCTAATAGGTAGTAATTGGAAAAGAAAGTATACTTCTCTTGAACAAAATTATGCAAATATAGGTATGAAACAAAGCAATAACAAAGGTACTTCTTCTAGACACAGGAAAATACTTAAGTCTCAAATACTTAGCAGATGTTTCTCCCAAGGAGAGTAATATAAAGAACAAGTCACTTTGTTTCTGAACTGAGAAAATATATAGACTCGGTAAAGAAACTGAATCCATCAATATGATGAAAAAATGAATGATGCCATGTTTAGAAGTAAATTTGTACTTTGATTTAATTTGACATATCAATTTGGGATCCTTTTGAGAAATAATAACATTTAACCCTACTGTCAGTTTTTCTTTTTTCTTTTTTTTTTTTTTTTTTTTTTGAGACGGAGTCTCGCTCTGTAGCCCAGGCTGGAGTGCAGTGGCGCGATCTCTGCTCACAGCAAGCTCCGCCTCC
The DNA here is from genome assembly GCF_000001405.40 of Homo sapiens. Lineage (NCBI taxonomy): Eukaryota > Metazoa > Chordata > Mammalia > Primates > Hominidae > Homo > Homo sapiens. The sequence goes on along the minus strand of NW_018654720.1, from coordinate 38,574 downwards.
AGGGTTCACGCCATTCTCCTGCCTCAGCCTCCCGAGTAGCTGGGACTACAGGCATCCGCCACCATGCCCAGCTAATTTTTGTATGTTTAGTAGAGACGGGGTTTCATCGTGTTAGCCAGGATAGTCTCGATCTCCTGACCTCATGATCTGCCCTCCTTGGCATCCCAAAGTGCTGGGATTACAGGCGTGAGCCACCGCGCCCAGCCGTCAGTTTTTCACTTGTGTTTTAATTACAAGAAAGTTTCTACAGGTAGTGTAATTGTTTTATAATTTCATAAGATTGTGGAAGAAGTGATGAAAGGAAGAATTATTCTAAGTCATAAGCTCAATAGAAAAATTCAGGCAAAAAAAAAGAGAATCGTCTAAACACTGTTGAATTTTAGAATCAATTTATATTGAAAAAGGAAAGTTCATATTCTCCTTGGTATGTAACTGCTCATTCCATTCTGTTATAAGTCACATATTATATTTGCTTACAAATAAAGAAAATATTTCAAATGTTTCAGACAGATAATCAGAAAGTATTTATTGAGTACTCATTGAATACATTCATGTTAATTTCAAGACAAAGAGATTTTTGTTTTTAATTTCAGCATGAGAATAAATATGTACAAACTTCCCCAGACTGGTAGATCCTAAAAAAGCTTGGTGTTGAAAGCTGTCCAGAGAGAGACTAAATTCTTACCATCAAAAAAATTTATGGAATTTTTCATTTTAATCACTTGTGTCATTTATAATTTTACTGCCTTTAGTGTTATCTATTCTCGTTTTAAAAATGTACTAGTCAGTTTGATTCTTACAATTGAATTAAATGGGCCACACAATAGTTTATATTTGAGGAAGACTATTAATTATGGCTGCTATAATAATGTAGCCAAGACTTTAGTTATATAATATACAGCCTAAGCAGCTTATTTTTACAAATTAAATAGAAGATTTTCTTAACGGTTGTATTGTGCAGGCTGAAAAAAAAACCAGTTTTTATAAATCACCTCCTTACTTTGATACTACTATCTTGATTATCAGTAAATTATCATAAAAGAATTAAGGGTCTCGTAAGATAAACATCAAAGTCTGACTAATGACATAAAGCCAGTAAAAATTCATTAAAATATTTTAGCACATTTTTCTCAAGACAATGAAAAATAATGTCTATTGAAATAAAAAATTTATACAAAATAAAAGAATAAATGCCAAATTCAGCATAACTTTTAATTATTGCAAAATACCCCTTTGTAGATCATGTGTATCAGCTATTATTCAGAACCTTGTACTTCAAGAAATATGTAATGGACCTAGAGAATGTCCAAATATGAGTATATGAAATTTTGAGAGCAATAGAAAACTCACCCTATGAAGAACATCTTAAAACAAGGACAGAAAGATAAGGGTCATTTGCCTGGATCAGAAATGAATTAGTATTTATTGATCCCCAGAATATTATATGTACTATCAGCTTCTAGATCCATGTATTCTATATACATTATTGTACTATTTTTCAATAGACTAAGAGATAGATATTATTATCACATTTTATGGAGGAATTAACTGAGGTTCAGAGAGAATAAATTACTTGTCCAAAGCCGTATGGCTAGTAATTGGCATGATCTGTCTATTTCAAATGCTGTGCTTTTCAACGTTAAGGTCTGGAAAACTTGAGAGATGTTTTCACTATAGTTCTATCACTGATGAACTAACAAAGTATGAATTAGTTATTATATAATAACAGTTTTAATAGTTTCAGCAAAGGTAGTCAACATTATAGTAGAAATAGTACTAGTAATAATAATGATAATAGAGATATGATGGTGATGGTGGTGAGAGTAAAAATAATTATAATGGTTAGGTAGTATTGTGCATCAGCATATATTCAAACTAAATACAATATGGTTTTAGCTCAGTGGTAAGTTTAATTCAGGTGAGGAATATTTTGACCAGGTTTACTGAAAATTTATAAATTTAAAATAAATATTGAATCCAGATACCAACATAAATTTTTAAGATTATGTAATGGATGTATTATTATAAGCTCATACCTATTTCAGAAAAAAAATCATTGAAAACATTACTTCTACTGGAGTCTAAATTAATATTTTAATCTTATATTTACTCTTTGTACATATGAATTTGTATCAGCTTTCTCAATAAAGAAGAAAAGCAACACTAGAGAATTTTCTTATTCAGATATCATGTTCAAGTCAGCCATTTGTATTGAGTTAGGAAAGCATTGCCTTATATTATCTACTTTTTATAAAATACAGATATTATTTTTCCTAGATATAGTTACCCTAAAAAATCAGAATTCCAAAACGTATGTTGCTTATCCTTCTAAAATTGTATTGTGAGCCATTTTATTACATTTGGCATGGAAATAATCATTCTCACATTTCTTATATTTCATATTCAATATGGATTTATGTGGGGTATTTTCATTTTTGTGATAACAATCTTTAATGTTTATTAGTCAGTACTAACCAACATTGTCAAAGAAATGCATCTTTTATAAGACTAAATTTAAATGTTTATATTTTTGATGAAAATTATTTGTTTAAAAACCCACAGGCTCATGTGTCAGCTATCCTTTGGGCTGTAAAAATAAAACAAAATCATTTATCTGCTTTTCAGGGAACATAATTCCATCAGTATAGGCAATCATAGATACTTGTTTAAAAACTTCAACTTAAATCCTACATAACCAACTTTCATCACTCCTCAGAGTTAATGCTCTCTATCTCTTAGTAAAAGTATCCCAATTCCAGAGTGTCTCAGGCATTTTTCACACAGTGCATGTGCTTTATGTTGTAGGGGTAGACTGATTTGCTAAAGTTGGAACAGGAATTAAAAGAAGTTAAAGATTGTGGCCGGGCGCGGTGGCTCACGCCTGTAATCCCAGCACTTTGGGAGGCCGAGGCGGGCGGATCACGAGGTCAGGAGATCGAGACCATCCCGGCTAAAACGGTGAAACCCCGTCTCTACTAAAAATACAAAAAATTAGCCGGGCGTAGTGGCGGGCGCGTGTAGTCCCAGCTACTTGGGAGGCTGAGGCAGGAGAATGGCGTGAACCCGGGAGGCGGAGCTTGCAGTGAGCCGAGATCCCGCCACTGCACTCCAGCCTGGGCGACAGAGCGAGACTCCGTCTCAAAAAAAAAAAAAAAAAAAAAAAAAAAAAAAAAGATTGTGTAAGCAAAAACTCAGTTGTATGTAAGCAAACCCAGTTCCCCGTGAGGAAGAGAAAAAGGCTGGAGTCCTTTAAAATTAACTCTCTGTTTTTCTCTCTGTGGCTAGTGAGCCTTATTTCTCCCTTTCCCAGGCATTGTGAAGACTGTTTCTCTAGCTGTGCAGCTGCAAGGTCACTAGACAGATAATCTCAAGTTGTAAAACATGTTGTTCCTTGAAAAGTAATAAATAATGTAATGCATGTCTTAATTGAATAACTGTCTTTGTTTCTCACTTCTGTAATATGCTTCCCCCTGCACAGATCTCCCCCCACCCCACGAAATGCTTAAAAGGTAGCTTGACTCTTTGTTCGGGGCTCAGTCCTTTGGATGTTAATCCGACTGGGTCAGTGCACCTAAATAATTAAATAATTCCTCCTCAACCCCTCAGTCTCTCTGATTCCTTAATTATTCTGCACCAAAGTCAGTCAGCATATCCCATTCACCTCTTGCTCAGAGGTGAATGTAGGCACATAGACCAATGGAACATAATAGAGAACCTAGAAGTAAACCCAAATACTTACAGCCGACTGATCTTCGACAAAGCAAACAAAAAGCCAAAGTGGGGAAAGGACACCCTTTTCAAAAATGGTGTTGAGTAATTGGCTAGCCACATGTAGGAGAATGAAACTGGTTCCTCATCTCTCACCTATACAAAAATCAACTCAAGATGGATTAAGGGCTTAAACCTAAGACCTGAATCTATAAAAATTCTAAAAATATAACATTGAAAAAAACCCATAATACTTTATTAAATGCAGCAGAAGTACTAAACTCTGGCTCATATTTTGAAGAAAATATTGTGTTATTTTGGTCTTCTGTAGCTTATTGAGCTGCATTTTCCTTCTTTATCACTTATTCTTTGAACACAGATCCACGTATTTTGATATATATAGTCATGCCTATTAGTCTGTTTTCTCACTGGTGATAAAGACATACCCGTGACTGGGAAGAAAAAGAGGTTTAATGGGACTTACAGTTCCACATGGCTGGGGAGTCCTCAGAATCATGGCAGGAGGTGAAAGGCACTTCTTGCTTGGTGGCAGCCAGAGAAAATGAGGAAGATGCAAAAGCAGAAACCCCTGATGAACCCATCAGATCTCGTGTGATTTATTCACTACCATGAGAACGGTATGGGGAAAACTGCCCCCATGATTCAAATTATTTCCCACCAGGTCCCTCCCACAACACATAGGAATTATGGGAGTACAATTCAAGGTGAGGTTTGGGTGGGGACACAGAGCCAAGCCATATTATCATGTGTTGCATAATATTTCAGTCAACAAAGGACGGCATGTATGAAAGTGATCCCATAAGATTATAATGGAACTCAGAAATTCCTGTCGCCTAATGAAGTCTTAGCTGTCAGAACGACAAGCATTCCTCATGTGTTGGCTATGATAATGGTGGAAACAAATATATTGCACTGCCTGTCATTTGAAAATATAGCACAGAATTATGTACAGTGCAGAATACTTGATAATGCTAAAGAACGATTGTGTTACTGGTTTATGTATTTACTATACTATACTTTTAAGCATTATTTTAGAGTGTACTACTTATTTTTTTAAAAAGCTAACTGTGAAACAGTCTCTGGAATATCCTTCAGGAGGTATTAGAAAAGAAAAGAAGGAATTGTTCCCATAGGAGATGACCGCTCCACTTGTGTTACTGCCCCAAAGACCTTCCAGGGGACAAGATGTGGAGCTGGAAAACACTGCGTAGATGATCCTGACCCTGTTTCATACTAGGCTAATCTGTGTGTCTTTGTCTTAGATTTTAACAAAATGTTTACAGAGCAAAAATGTTAAAAAATTAAAAATATAAAAAAGCTTATAGAATAAGAATATAAAGAAAATATTTTTGTAAAGCTGCATAATGTGGTTGTGTTTTCAGCTAAGTGTCATTATAAAAGAGCCAAAAAATTAAAAACAATTAAAATGTTTATAAGATAAGTTGAAGTAATTATCTATTATTGAAGAAAGAATATTATTTTTTATAAATATAGCATAGCCTAAGTGTATAGCACTTATGAAGTCTGCAGTAGTGGACAGTAATATCCTAGGCCTTCACATTTACTCACTAGTCACTCAGAGCAACTTCCAGTCCTACTAAGTTAATTTATGATAAGTGCCCAAACAGCTGAGCCATTTTTAATTTTTATATCATACTTTTATTGTACCTTTTCTGTGTTTAGGTATGTTTGAATACACAAATACTTACCACTGTGTTAAAACTGTCTACACTATTTAGTACAGTAACATACTGTACAGGTTTGTAGCCTAGGAGCAATAGGCTACACCATATAGCCTAGGTATGTAGTGGGCTATACCAGGGGTCCCTAACCCCTGTGCCGCTGATCTGTACCCATCAGTGGCCTGTTTGGAACTGGGTCACACAGCAGGTGGTGAGCCGCCAGCTAGTAAGCATTACTGCTCCACCTCCTGTCAGACCAGCTGCAGCATTAGATTCTCACAGGAGTGTGAACCCTATTGTGAACTGCACATGTGAGGGATCTAGGTTGTGTGTTCCATGTAAGAATCTACTTAATGCCTGATAATCTGAGGTGGAACAGTTTCATCCTGAAACCATCCCCGCTTTATACTGCACCACTGCCCACCCCTATCCGTCCATTGAAAAATTGTCTTCCCCAAAACCGGTCCCAGGTGCCAAAAAGTTTGGGGACCCCTGGGCTATACATCTAGATTCATGTTAGTACACTCCATGGCATTCACACAACGACAAAATTGCCTAACAATGCATTTTCTCAGAACATATTCCTGTTGTTAAGCTGCACATGACTGTATATATCTGCTATTATTTTTAACTGGTCTGCATATCATAGTTTTGAGTTTATCTTTAAATGAATTATTTAAGATAGTGATTTTTGATATACATTTATCAGTATTTGAAGTTTTTGTTTGTTAAAACTTGTATTATCCAGTTTTATCACAATGTCAGAAACTGAGATATCTTATTTCTATATTTGACTTGGTGCAATAGTTTTTGGAAAATATGTTTATTCTTGGTGTGTTCCATGCCAAATTTAGTACAACGGTTAAACTGGCTTTTTTAATTGTGTAATTAAGATAGTCTGTATTCTTTGTTGATGTCTTAAGGACTAATAAGTTATGCACTGGAGTCTTCCACTATACTTATACTTTTGTTAAATTCTCTTTTTATTTTTAATATTATCTGCTGTGCTCTAATGGCTTATAATTCATTTTATATACATATATATTCTTTATTAGTAATATGAGACACTTTATTTTTAAAGTCATCTTTATTCAATATTAAATATTAATACTACAGTTACATATAGCATTTTAAGTAGGCTTTGTTTGAAGTTAATTTTTAAACAATTTTTATTCTGCTTTGTCTTTAATAAATGACATATAGTTAATTTTGTTTTGCAATCAAATCTGGAAATCCTTGTCTTTTCATAGGTAATTTTAACTGATTCCTGTATACTAATAACTAGTAGATTCAATCTTGTGTGTTACATAATATTTTCTGATTTTTAACTTGATTTTCTCATTTTTTTTCTTTTATTTTTATGTGGAAGACATTTTCTTTTAGTGAATAAATGAAAAAAAATTCTGATTTCCAATAGAAATTTTCAGACTCATATAAAATGTCTTTTTTAGTTTATGCAGCTGTCACTCATTGCTTCCTTTTGGGGTTATTATCATTTTAAAATTTGATATTACTTTTTCTGTCTCCATTAAACCTTTCACATTTCAAGATTTTAGTTTATCACATACAACTTGCTCTAGATTTCTTGGTATTTTGTCCTCTCCAATTATATTTTCAAAAAAATTAGACATTTTCTAAAATGCCCTCCTGTTTATTGTAATAATTCTATTTCATTGAAAGGAAACTATTCTTTTTCTATAACGTAGTCTCTTTGTTTTCATATGTCTAGTAGTTTTACTGTTTGCCATTCTTATTTGTTGTTTATTTTCATCTTTGTTATTGGGTCATCTGATGTCTTGAGATGATCTGTAACATTATATGAGTCAAGAAGGGAAAAAATGGGAATGGTTATTTTACTTGGCTGAACCACATCAGTTCAGAGATGCAGTAATATAAAAATGAATGAGACCCAAAGGCACCATAAACAGTGAGCATTTACTTTTTGCTATACCTTTTTTCCCTGTGTGGGATGTAGCAGCCTGGAACTACTATAAGTAAAATGCTAGTTCTCTTTGATAGGTACAGTATATATGTCTAGTGTACATGGAGTAATCCCTGCTTGATATGATCTCCAATAGCTGATGTGTGTTCCACAGGTGTTGGTGAGATTCAGATTTATAACCAAACACATTGCTTCCACAACTCTTCTCTATACACACACTGGAACACTGTCAGATCCCGCCTTCATCCTTCCAAATAAGATAGTTATTGAGGTTTAGTCAGAATCTGGCCAACTTTCCTGATAAGAGCAGTTGTCAGATACAAACAGGTGAGTTACAGGCTGTGTGAGCTCTTTCTTCATTCTGGTCACATTTCCACTCACTTTTGTAGCGTCCTATATTCCTTCAAGTATGTAGAATGTGGATACCATCTTTTCCTGGTTTTTAGAACTGATACAAATATTATCAATGACAAGAGACTGGGGACAGACCCAGAAATATGCCCTCACCTCTACAGGGAAATTTATTTCAGCATTATGTCTTCTCCATGCTTGGTAAAATTATAGCACTAAAAGGAATGCACCAGATTTACTGTATGACCCTGTCTCTGTGCCAGGTAGAAACTATAAGTCTCCCAAAACTACATCCTAGTACCTGAAGCAACCTCTTCCACCTCTCTGAATAGCCTATCTGGTATAAGACCACAGAGACCTCTGAATGCTGCTATTTTCTAAGACTGATGATTATAGTCATTTTCAGCCGAAATTTTATGAGCCACATCTGCTCCACTGATCATTAGCACTTGCTCTACAAATTAGGATGTTTTGTGAGCTTTACCAGGATGGGACTTACCAAACCAACCAACAAACAAAACCTCATACTTTACACTTTTCCCAATATTTCCACTTTTATCAAAGGTTCCTTAAAATTCTTAGAATGCGAAATGTATCTTTCACTAACTTACAGTATTGTTATATCTTTCCATTATTCTGTGTTTTCTTGTTCTGTTCTGCACTCAGCGTAACACTTGACATGTTTTTAAGTAATCTATCCTACTAGTAAATTATCATTAATATTTTTACAGCTTATTATAACTTTAGTTTTAAGTATACATGATAGGCAAGTGAGTTTGGAGAATGCAAATCTGTTTTTGAGAGAAGCAGATGCTAATGACACAGGTAGTGTAGTAAGATTGCATGTAATTCAGAGGTTGTATTTTTAAATTAACTCATAATTTTGAAGTGTATACAGTCCGTGTTATCTTTGAAAAATTCTTAAATCACTCTCATATCTCCAGGAACTGTAAAAAGGTTCACCATCTATTTCTTTTGGCTTATTTTACTTTGGTTTTGTCCTATCGGTGGAGTCGTAGAATCATTTGGGGAATGATTAAAAATGAAATTTAAGGATAACAATGGGACTATTTTTTTCCTACATCTCATTTCATAGTTGAATTAAATAAGTAAAATGCACATACAAGGGACTTTCTAGTAATTTCATAATAGAAACTAAAGCCTATCCTTCGTCCGTATTTTATAAAATAACCTGATTGAGGCATTTCAAAAAATTCTTAAATGCATCAAATATATAACAAGATAATGAGTTGCTGGAATAATTGAATGAAAACTGAACCAAGGATGCCACGTCCAGGACTCAAATCGTTTTTACTATAAAGACATTTACAGACAAAGAAAAACTTCACACTGGAATTTCAAAGAAATATGAACATCCAATTAGATAATTCATGAAATGTCTTAAAACAGTAGCTAGTACATACCAAGCACTCAGTAATAAATGTTAGATATTCTTGTCATTATTATTAATTCTAACAATCCTCCAGTATAGCAAATATAGTTGAAGATTTGGTATTACATGTGTAAGATAAAAAAGGCTGAAGTCATAGATTCTCTGTGCTCAAACTACATTCAGATGATTATGAATATATCTGAAGCCCAAAAACTAAGGATAATATTTTTTTCCATAGTTGAGCCTACCATCATGCATCTGATACAATCTCCCATGAAAAACACTCTTAATAACAGTAATCATATACTTTTTGTTTCAAATCACTCCCAGCACTTACACTGTCAAATCTCTCAGGACACTGCAATCATCTCTGACTAAACTTTGACAGTTATTTATGGATTCTACAACTTTTCTTTTTCAGCTGCTATTTTTATGAGCTGGCTAAAGGAGAAATACCATTCACAAAGAAATCTTGAGTGGCCACTGGAAAGTAATTTCTGGGAGGGTCGGCACTTTGCATTCAGCACATACAGCAGAGCCTAGCACAGAGTAGAAGTTCATTAAATATTTGTAGAATGAATGACTTAATCATGACTAATACTGGCTTGTCTAGATACAACCAAAAGCAGTGATATCCTACTGGCCATCTTTCCCCAATATATATTTTAATGCCGCTATCAATGCGTTATGCCTCTCCCTTTCTTTTTATAATTAATTACTTAGAAATAGGTAAAAATAAAAATTTATCTGTGTTGACACAATTTGTATCACCTTTGATGATGTATTAAGAATACTATCATTTTGTGCATACTTATATATATACACACACACACGAACATATACACATACACACACATTAAAAGAACTTTCAAGTATTTTCATATGTTTCTGCTTATTGTTTTGTTGATCCCTCTTTTATGCACTTTATAGCATCTCCTAGCAGATTAATTCGAAGCTTAATAGAACCATTTCCATCTGACTAGATCATCTTGCAGTGTTTATATATATGTAGTATAATGTTTACTTTCATCGTTTGTATAATTAACGTAGATGAAATGCTTGCACACCACTTTAGAGATGTTATAGATTAATTACCTATTTAGTTATAACTTAGATAAGATGAAAAGTGTCATATAAATTTTAAGCACTACAATTATAATAACTTTTTGCATAGCTGTAATTATACTAAAAGTGTATAAGGAAAATGTGATGTTGCCACATAAAAATACTTTAGAATATAGAAGACAGTAATAATAACAGTGGCACAAATGTATTAGATTTTACATGTTAGGATGTTGAAAGAAAGTAATAACCGAAAAAGAGCACATTTTTATAGTGCCTGAATGGTGGAATATGTATTTTTACTAATAAAAAGGCATACATTTTTAAAATGAGTACTTTTAATTATTTGTGTCATAACTTATATACAATGAAGTTTCTAAGTTATTACAAATATATTGACTTTTCAGAAACATGGTATTAATTTTCTAATGGTTAACAATGACATAGTATGTCAACAGTTTATAATTATAGCAGCTCGAGTTTGATGACTATAGTTATTTTTCAAATTTTTAGTTATTTCTGAGCAATTTCAATAAAACTAGACAACAAATAATTAAAAGAGAATATACTTGTGTTAATGTTTCACGTTCATTATTCATTTTCTTTTGAGCTGTTATGATCACAATTGTGAAATGTTGTTAAAATTAATCATTTGTATAACCCTTGGGGGAAAATCTATTCCAAAGCTATGGAAGCCTTCATTAATTAAATGGGAACAATTGGTTACATGTATGCAGGGGGTTAAAAAGTGATCTGCTTTTGGCATGTTTTTGCAGTGGCTAGTACCAGTTGTTCCTTTCCATGTTTAGTGCTTCCTTCAGGAGCTTTTGTAAGGCAGGCCCTGGTAGTGACAAAATCTCTCAGCATTTGCTTGTCTGTAAAGGATTTTATTTCTCCTTCACTTATGAAGCTTAGTTTGGCTGGATATGAAATTCTGGGTTGAAAATTCTATTCTTTAAGAATGTTGAATATTGGCCCCCACTCTCTTCTGGCTTGTGGAGTTTCTGCCGAGAGATCCACTGTTAGTCTGATGGGTTTCGTTTTGTGGGTAACCTGACCTTTATCTCTGGCTGCCCTTAACATTTTTTCCTTCATTTCAACTTTGGTGAATCTGACAATTATGTGTCTTGGAGTTGCTTGTCTCGAGGAGTATCTTTGTGGTGTTCTCTGTATTTCCTGAATTTGAATGTTGGCCTGCCTTGCTAGGTTGGGGAAGTTCTCCTGAATAATATCCTGAAGAGTGTTTTCCAACTTGGTTCCATTCTCCCCATCACTTTCAGGTACACCAATCAGACGTAGATTTGGTCTTTTCACATAGTCCCATATTTCTTGGAGGCTTTGTTCATTTCTTTTTACTCTTTTTTCTCTAAACTTTTCTTCTCACTTCATTTCATTCATTTGATCTTCAATCACTGATACTCTTTCTTCCATTTGATTGAATCAGCTACTGAAGCTTGTGCATGCGTCACGTAGTTCTCTTGCCATGGTTTTCAGGTCCATCAGGTCATTTAAGGTCTTCTCTACACTGGTTATTCTAGTTAGCCATTCATCTAATCTACTTTTCAAGGTTTTTAGCTTCTTTGCAATGGGTTCAAACATCCTCCTTTAGCTCGGAGAAGTTTGTTACTACTGATCGTCTAAAGCCTTCTCTCAACTCGTCAAAGTCATTCTCTGTCCAGCTTTGTTCCATTGCTGGCAAGGAGCTGCGTTCCTTTGGAGGAGAAGAGGCGCTCTGATTTTTAGAATTTTCAGCTTTTCTGCTTTGGTTTCTCCCCATCTTTGTGGTTTTATCTACCTTTGGTCTTTGATGATGGTGATGTATGGATGGGATTTTGGTGTGGATGTCCTTTCTGTTTGTTAGTTTTCCTTCTAACAGTCAGGATCCTCAGCTGCAAGTCTGTTGGAGTTTGCTGGAGGTCCACTCCAGACCCTGTTTCCCAGGGTATCACCAGCAGAGGCTGCAGAACAGCAAATATTGCAGAACGGCAAATGTTGCTGCCTGATTCTTCCTCTGGAAGCTTCGTCTCAGAGGGGCACCTGGCTGTATGAGGTGTCAGTCAGCCCCTACTGGGAGGTGTCTCCCAGTTAGACTACTCAGGGGTCAGGGACCCACTTGAGGAGGCAGTCTGTCCGTTCTCAGATCTCAAGCTGCGTGCTGGGAGAACCACTACTCTCTTCAAAGCTGTCAGACTGGGAAGTTTAAGTCTGCAGAAGTTTCTGCTGCCTTTTGTTCAGCTATGCCCTGCCCCCAGAGGTGGAGTCTACAGAGGCAGGAAAAATCTGCCCATTGTGCACATGTACCCTCGAACTTAAAGTATAATTAAAAAATAAAATAAAATAAAAATAATAAAATTTAAAAAGTGATCTGCTTTATATTTATATATATATTTTTTTCTCTTGTTACAAACATATTGCCTATGTTTCTTACCTATTTTTTTCTGTAAAGGTAACATATTTAATCATAAGACTGAGGCCCAGGAAAGTTGAGCTTGTATAAATTGTTAGCATTGTAAAACATAGCAAAACAATGTTCAAATCTTTTTTGAATAAGATTTGAATAATGTGAGCAATTTAATTCATGATATGCCACCAAATAAAGGAAATATTACTATAGTGACATTATTCAAATGGCATTTCCTTTTGACACACTCCTGGAACCCAGTTTTATTCACTTTAATATATTATTAAAAAGAAAAGCCAGATGCAGTGGGGCATGCCTGTAGTCCTAGCTACATGGAAGGCTGAGGTGGGAGGATTGCTTAAACTTAGGAGTTTGAGTTCAGCCGTGGCAATATAGCAAGACTCCTATTTCTATTAAAAAAAAAAAAAAAAAAAAGAATGGTGGGAGGGGGCCGGGCATAGTGGCTCACCGCTGTAATTCCAGCACTTTGGGAGGCCGAGGCTGGTGGATCACCTGACGTCAGGAGTTTGAGACCAGCCTGGACAACATGGTGAAACCCTGTCTCTACTAAAAATACAAAAAATTAGCCGGGCATCGTGGCGGACGCCTGTAATCCCAGCTACTCTGGAGGCTGAAGCAGAAGAATCACTTAAACCCAGGAGGTGGAGGTTGCAGATCGCGCCACTGCACTGCAACAGAGCAAGACTCTGTTTCAAGAAAAAAAGAAAAAAAAGGAAGAAAAATACTTAATGAAAACGGGAGTTTGTCACTCCTCTCAGAATATGGGGTTTAGAGTAACTGCTGTCTATGAAATTTAGTAATAGATGTTAGTAAATAAAATATACCTATAATCTTATCTTCTTAGGAATTTTGCTCTGGAAGTGGGTCTTTTCCTCTGGATACTTAGGCCACATCTCCAACTGTTATATAAATATATACTGATATAAAAATTAAAATAAGAAGATAATTTTAGGCTCATTTTATTAAAAATTATTACTTAATTTTTATTTAATACTTTAAATCTTGTTTTATCTCAAGTTTTGTCATATCACTTAAAACTATGTAACATTATTTCATTGTATAAATTAGGCTCTCTTGAGTTCTACTGTTAATGTGATTTTTTAATGTGATAATCACCACATTTTTCACAGTCAACTCTTAGAATATGATGCATCCAATTTTGTTACTGAAAATGACTCATCTATTGAAATTATACATCCATTTTAGACTAATAAATTATCATTTTGAATCTACATAAAATATTAGGAAAAGCATGAAAATACTCTTTCCAGATGCATATAACATAATTATATTGCTTTCTGGTCATCTACTGTTTTGTTAATTTTATCAGTATAAAAGCAATGCATTTTATTTGCTATAATTCCATTTTTATTACCTACAATAGCTCATAGTGATCTCTATTTATTTTTAAAGTCAGTATAAACCATCCTTTTAAAAAATCTAATATAGAAACATATCTAATTTAATGTCACAAGCCCTTGGTTTATAAACATATCATTTTTCACTAATAAAAAATGGCTCAGTTTTGGCATTCAGCATTGGCTTGACGAGAAGAAACCCCTGGTATTGGCCATCCTCTCTCTCATATGTCTCTGTTCCCGTGGCTAATCTTTTCATGGCCCCATTGCAACAGTACTGCATAGTCAAGGATAAGGATTGGCTGACATTCACAGAATGTTTCATGTTGTCCACATCATTACTAAGCAGCTCTTCTGAAACAGTTGCTCTTCAATGGGCACTAACATAAAATACAAAGATCCATGTGTTCTATCCCTACCAAAATGCCTCCCTCCCAGAATTTTTTGTCATCTATAACATTTGGATCTTGTTCCTTGCCGGACCCTGAACAATAGGACAAGTCATTGCAAACTTCCTGGAAGTCTTGAGTACCCATTCTTCAGGCTATTTCTCCTTCAAAGGCTCATAAAAGAGTTGCATTTTTTTCCTTTGCCCAGTGTCCAGCTACACTAGGAAATGGCATTCGATCCCCTTGGGAAATAATCAGAAAATGTTATTCATGTATCCTGGTAATAATTCTGCAACATTTTCTTCTAGTTATTTGAAGGTAGTTAGTCAAACTTACTTTGATCTACAACTTGGGTGAAAAATTGCAGTTTTCTGTTTTGGTGACTTGTCTGCCTTTTTTCTAGTTTGTGATTTTTTTCTAGTTATGCAAGTCAAAATCAATTTAGGCAGCTATTCGTCTCTCTTACCACTAGGAACATCATGACCCATTAGTCATCACCACAGATTCCTGTATTTCAAGGCAGTTTGACTGCCATTTTGGCCATGAAGTTCATTATGGTGATTAAGTCTACTTTATCTCTGTTGGATGAATTAGTACTACTTGACCATGAACATTCTGGAGTTCCACTGGCCCTAATGATAGTAAGAAAATGTCAGCTTCTCCTACTCTTAACCCCAGTTTCTAGAAATCAGCCACTCTCTCCTTCTCAATGATGCCAATAGCCTCATTACCAGTGCAGTTCTTAATGTTTTGGTGAAAGGAGTTTTATTTATGCCCTTGAGAAATTTGGTAGAGTGATGATGGTTCTTCATTCACATAATAAATTCATTCTAACATTCCTATATCTCTGCATTTTCTGACTCTATCCTTAACATTTTGTCAAGGTAGTTTATGCATCTCCTCTAATTTGCCATAGTCTATCATCAGGTATAAGCTTCAAAAAAACATTCCAGTGGTGTATTAAGAGCAGCTCCAGATGTCCTTATGGCATAAGAAATGGAAAAGTGCTTTTTCAAATAATACATTTTCACTTGTCCTGTCTTATATTCTCCTTCCTGCTCAAAATCCCTGATACACTCTCACATATATTTTCCTAGTTCACTTCAGTGTGTATTAGCAAGGTCATGCAATTTTTTCAGTATGAAGGTGGTTTTCTTCTTTAGCCCATGCTATTATTTTGTTCTCAAGATAACTTATGCCCTGGCTTATTTATTGTTCTGAAGGAAATGAGGAGAAGTGAGGTACACCTTTGAGTAGAACAAACATTCCCTTGTGAAATTAACTGAACCTATGCAGTTGCATAGTGCAACTTTTTTTTAAGCAATGATTAAAGTATAATAAGATATTATCAAATATAGCGTCTCAGAACCCTCAATAAATAATTTACCATTAATATTATTCCAACAAATAAACTTTCTCTCCTCACACTGATAGAAAATACAAATTTACCTAACAATGTTTTAATGGAAATATTTTCCTGTTATATACAAATTAAAATTTTGATCTTCTGCTGTTCAATTGCATTGATATTTATCCATTGAAAATGGTCCCTAAAGTATTGATGTCAATAGCTTATAATAGTGAAATCATCCTGTATGTTATCGTGAGTATTACCTCTGGAGAGATTTCTTTCAACCATACTTATTAACAATGAATACAATTGGATTACATCCCATCCCCCATCTTGCTCAACTTGACTGACAGATACTTATTTTCCCATGAGGTAATTCACTCCAATACTGGACAATTTGAGTTAAAAATTTTTTCCTAAACTGTGATTAGATCTACTTGTAAATGAGTTCCATACCAGTCCTTATTAAATTTTCTACAGTAATCTAGGGTATTTCTTCTGTTTTCCAATTTAAGAACTGAGGCAAAGTGAATAATTACTCTTAATTCTTCCATTAGCTTTCTATTTGACATCTAATCTAACATATGTCTTGTTGGTTTTACCTTAAAAAAAAATCTCTAATCTGGCCACTTCTCACCAAATTTACAGCTGCTTAGTCCGAGCCAGTATCTTTGCATCTTTTTCTATCTGGATTACTTACTGCAGCAACTTCTGACTGATAATACTTTCGCCTATACTTTATTGTTCATAGAGAAGTCAGAGTGCCCGTTAATGCATAAGTCAGATTATGCCCGACTTCTACCCCTATGCTTGCTTCCCATCGAGAAGAAAGTGAAATGCTGGCTCTTTCCTCTAAGGCCCAATGTGATCTGGGCCCTGACCATCAATTCAATTGCATTATCTGTCATTTTTCCTGCTATAGTTGGGCCAGAGCAGCCTTTATGCTATTCTTTGACATATCAAGCATATTCATTTCTCGGGGATGTTCTTACTTTCTGGAATATTATTGCAAATTCTTCATGTGGCTACTGTTATGGGCTGAATTGTGTCACCCCAAAATTCATACGTTGAAATCCTAAACCTCGGTTCTCAGAATGTGAGTGCTTTTGGAGATAGAAAGTTTAAAGAAGCAATTAAGTTAAAATGAGATCATGGTGGACCTTAATCAATTCAGGATGTTGGCTGCCTTGTTCATTAAATCCTATCACAAGGTAGATAGATGTTCAATAAATAAGTGTTAGAAGACAAGTGCTCTGTCTTCCTACCATATCACTTACTTGTCTTCTTCCCCAGAACAAACATCTTGAATTTCTTCGATCTTCCTTCTAATGTATTCTTTTCAGAACTCTTGACATCTCATTTATATTCCCCTTTGAAATAAGAAACTTACAATGAATTATTCTAAGATGACTTTGTCACTGAGAAGATTGGGACCATTATTTATAGTGACCTAGATTAATTAACACTACTTAGAGTTGTATTTACCTTAAAACAACAGTTAATGTTCTCTATAATCAATTGAAGCCTTAACATCTTATTTTCATACAAATGAAAATACTATTCTTCTAGTCTATTCTATTAATATTGTTTTATAAAATATCTGAATATAAGGTATTGTGTCATTTAAATTAGTATTGTATCATTAAATTATCCTTAGTTCTACCCCAAATCTTAAGTATATGACCTAATTGATTAACAAGTCTTCTTGAATTTTTCCTCCACCTTTTTCCACTCCTGAATCAGTTTGTTCTTAATCTCAGTGAACCTTTTTTATCCATAAAATATCATTATCTCCACATTGTCATACTCAGCTTTGTCTCCTGTCTTTATTTTTTTAAATATATTCATTAACAACCTTATCTTTATCTTAAAAGAATGAGATATGTGCTAAATGTATGTACCACTCTTCCTTCGTCAACTGGTACCCAAAGAAATGGTACCGAAATGCCAGCTGTTACCCACATCTTTGAGATTACTACCAAAAATATCCATGAGGTCTTCTGACTGTATCATTTTCTCCATAAAATAGGGGTGTCACTAAACAGTAAAACAGATGAATTCTGTTAGGTTGTCCGCTATTTCCAGGAGTGGGTTCAAAGATGATTTATAATGCCTGGTTACCCCCAACTACCTCCATAAATCTTAGTAGCTTTCTTGTCACCAAACGTCACATTATTTCCTTAGGGTAGGTAATAGATTTTAACATCTTTAAAACCATAATAAAAAAAAGGAAAGATGAAGGCCGGGGGGCGGTTGGAAGAGAAATGAGATAGTAGACCTTTAGAGTCAGAGACATGGTTTGTCAAATCTCAGCTATCTAATATCAATTATTTTGCCTTGGGCACCTCAGAGAACAACTCTGAAACTATTTCTGCATTTCTTATATGGCACGAGTAAAATAAATTAGCATGGGTTGCTATAAAAATTGCAGATGGTATACATTGAAGCATTTAACATACTGTCTAAAAAATTATAAATGCCTAATTAATGATGATTTTTATTGCTTTTCATTTTGAAAAAAAAATCAAGAGAGCCCATATGAAACAGATTGTATCATGGCCTTGTTCATTGTAACTACAATTTTTTATTTTACTTATTTTTAATAAATGTCATGTTGCATGTCATGCTCGCAAACCTCTGTTGAAGAGTTAACACAGATTGTTTGCCATGCTCTGGAGAACATAGTCCCTCTACTCAGATCACAATAATAAGAATTCATACCCGTACACTACCTATTGACTTGTGAGGTACACCAGATTTAACAGGTGTCCTTTTTGATTACTGACAAAACCATTTAAGGAATACCAAAAGAAGAAGCCAGAGCAGAACGTGAGGCCAGAGAAGGGACGACACACCAGGATATTAATAAAAATACACAAAAATCAATCATCAGGGAATTGAAACTATAAGAGTAGATGTGTGATTAGGCAGAGTTCCTCACCTAGAAAAAATACTTACAGAAGTTAGTTGATAATCAGGTGCAAAAGGTAGACACAGAAGCAGATATAGAGAACTCACAATCTTATCAACCCACTAAAAGGTTTTAGAGGTGACAGCATGCTTTGGACTGCTAAGATTTCTATTGTATTTTAAAAGGTGAATGAGTGATTTTTCCTTTCCTCATGAGACTTACTATAGGTCTTTTGAGACTTTTCCAGTCTCTCTTGCTTTCCTGGAAATGTTTCTGTTTTGTTTCGTTATTTTCAATCCATTAACTGAACTAACCTGCATGCATCTCAGTTTCTTGCAGTGTAAAATCTTAATTAAAATGAGACAATTAGAAATCAACTAGTGCAGGAATCTTAATTCACTAATGAGCAGTTGATTTTACCCTTGTTCACCCAAGTTTCTTGAATACAGACAAGGATACATCTAGTTTTTCTACTAGTTCACTTCTCTTTCTGTTCTAAATTCTCACAATACTCCAAATCTCCAAATTTTAGTAAAAACTACATCGTTTTCCTGGCTTTAATGCTCTACTTCTCCTTTTCCTTTTCATGTTTGCATTCTTTTTTATGCTTTAATTTTTTTATTCTGTAATATTTCTTCTATCTTACCTAAAGAGTTTCCATCCTTGAATATAATTTTTTTAGCATCCACACAAAAAATCCCCCAAAATCACCTTTAACCAAAAGGACTTGCTCTTGATTGTTTATGCCTAATAATCAGCTCAGGCAGAAAAGCAAACGTTGCACCACAGTTAGATTTTGTGACAATATTATCTCTACATCAATATTGCTTAAGTCACTCTTGATAATTCTTAAAGATTTGTTCTTGACATTTTTTTCAAAAAACTGCTATGGATTTATATCCTCATGTTTCTGAATCAAAATTAGAGTTTAAAAATAAAATAAGGAACAAGTTTATTTTGCTTAGTATGACCTGAACACGTAGGCAAACAATTTTGTTCCTGTTAATCAAGGTTATATTTTTCCCTTATTTTGGCAATTTCCATTAATTCCACCTGAGGCCAGGATCTCACTGTTTCATGCCAAGATTATTATGGTGGTCTCTTTATTTATTTATTTTTTGTTTCCAGCTTCAGTTATATTTTCTCTTACACTCCTAGATTAATGATAGGAAAACACTTAGTAATCACTACCTCACTAGAATTTCACTGGCTTCCAATTTTCCCCCAAACACCCTTGCAATTCAAGCCTCTACCTTTCTTTTTGTTTCCTATAATATGGTGCTCCCCAATATAAGCTTTGTTTCAAAAGACTTATCACTCCATTGTCACTCACCAATGCCATCTTCCTTCCTTTACTCACTCTGTTTCCTCCTAACTATTTCAGAGGACACATCTAGTTCATTAATTATTTCATGGCTACTATAACCCACAATCGTCTCCCTAATTGTCAAACTTTTATTGTATGTGTCCTTTTTATTACCCAGTTAATACTTCGTTGGTCATTATTTTATGCACATTCATTTGCTAAAAATAAATAGCATATAGTAGAAACCATTTTTCTTATTTCTATTGTTCTCAGTGGTGAGCACAATAAGAGGCATATAATAGATGCTTTAATATATAACTTCTGGCTAATCAGTATCAAGCTTCCCTGAAAATGTGAATAAGGAAGGGGGCAATGCTGTCTGCCACTATTGGTATTTCCCAAGATACTCATGGCATTTTCCAACTGTCTCTGTAGAGAAAGATGAGCCTACAAGGACATTAAGTACGTCTCATTGCATTTAATGTAAAAACAAAAAAAAGGGTGGGGGGGAAGTAAACCACTAGAAATGAGGAAGAGAGAGGCGAGATTACATAGCACCATTTAGGGGATATTGAAATGTCATCCACCCTCTAAAGGTGATAGAGATTTTATCTACAGAGAGCTAAATGTTGCCATAAACCTGAATCTCACTTCAATAACTATTATTCCTGATTATAAGATTTTTCAAGTATGAATAATGCATAGATGATATGCACTTCAGTCTTCATTTTTTCTATTGTATTTAGCTTATACTTACTTGCTCCCACAGGTATTGAGATTCTGAATTCTACTTATATACATATGTATACTTGCACAGTATACACATGTACATACATATTTGGCATTTTATGCCAACAGCATTTTCCAGTAGTTATATTTTTCAAATAATTGCATTATTGAAATGACTGGTGATACACATTCAGCCCCAGGTGGCTGTCTTACTATTGAAGTGATTACAGAAAGATCGAAAAGATATTTTGCATTCCATTTGTGGTTGTCTTTTATTGAACTTGGCTAATGTAACATGCTTCTGTGATTTTAGGTTTTTAAAGTAAGTGCGGTCCCCTTGAAAGTGTTTGAACATAAGCGTGGGTGAAAAGCATGTAGCCACTCTAGTTAAGCTTTCAAAAAGTGTTTTTAGGAAAGGTTTGAAATTAAGGCTTAGGTTATAGACTTCCTTTAACATGCACAAATAATTCTCACTAATCAAGGGAATCAAGCACATATCTACAGTGCAGGAAAAGTAATCTTTAGTACTTTTGTTTAAAATATTTTTTAAAATCTCTTTCTCTAAAATAATTAAATAGAGGATTGCTAGGCATATTTGTCATCTCTCTGGAAAACTGAGAAATGAAATCTGAATTTATATAACTTCAAACATAATGAGCCAAATTCTTGTTCCATAGTCTTGTATTATGTATACATGTACAACACTGATATCATTTTGCAAATACAACAGGATAGTGAGATATGATGTTATTTGCATAGCCACAAATAGCAACATTTCTTATTTGATTATGAAATCCTGACAAATGCTTGATAGACACTACACAAATTCCCATCCTCATTTTCTTATGCCATTAACTTTTAGGTTAGTTTACTGATGCATTTATATTTTTATACCTGTGTAATAAAATTTCTTGTGCGATGTGACAACACCATTGCTTTAAATATATAGAGAAAATTAGTCTCCCTAAAATGCCAGAAACTTTCTATGGTTTAAAAACTATAAAAGTTACTTTAACATTTTATTAAATTCATAAAATAAATTAGTATTTGTTAAAGCAAAGTGTTCTACTGCTTATATTTTAAAATGAAATAAAAATAATTCATTTCATATACATGAAAAATATCTTTAGCATCTTTAAATTTTTAAGAGAATACAATGTAACAAAAAATAGTCTCACTGCAGTCTGCATAGCTCAAATTCACAGTAGTACATATAACGGCATAATAGTTATACATTTTCATAGTTATCATCATATAAATTAATATTAGTATGTACAACTGTACAATAGTACCATAGTAATGTAACTGTAATTCTTATCCTCAACTGAGTATTATAAATCCTATAAACAAAGCTTTGATCTCAAAGTTCCTTTAGACTTTTCAAATCTTTCATGCTTATACTTTACATTAAAAACACAAATACATACTTTTTAGAGAAACGTTTTATTACAACTGAAGAAATCGACTATAAGGCTTAGGAATTATTTTTTAGAAACCGTTATTTGTTAGAATTTCTCATAATGTTTAATGTCCTAAAAATGACATTAAAGAACTTTAAAATTACTTAATATGCGTTTAGAAAACCAGATTTTTTCATTCAAATATAAATGTAATTGAAGAGTTGATGTGGCATCATATATAATAATTTAGTTTTCTCTTATAAAAAGAAATTAACCCAAATTCTGCCTTTGCCTTTAGAGTCATTGCTAATTTCACTTCAACCCCTTGACTATGTGTATATATAGAGAGAGAGACTATATACAGAGAGAGAGACTATATATATATATATATAGAGAGACTATATATATATAGACTATATATATAGTCTATATATATATTCATTTATTGTTTTACAGAGGTAGAATCATAATGCATATACTTGCTTAAGATACTTCCATTGCCACTATTATTTAGATACTAATCTCCTAACATGTTACGTAAAAGATCTTGCTTGATCTAGCTTTACCTGGGGTAACAGCAGTCCTCCCTGACTGTCTATTATACAGTCATTTTGGCATTCTTCTGACCCTCAAAATTCCTGAAGTTATAACTTTTACAGGGCCTTTGCCCATGACTTTTCTTCTACTTGGAACACTTTCCATACTTCTTCATCTGAATAACTCCTATTCATTCTCCAGGCACCTTTCCCACGAAGTTTTTTTCATCCTAGGCTCATTTAGATTCTCCTGTTATATCCACTCCAGAGGTCCTGTCTCTTTCCTCAGTACCACTCAGTTCTCTTGTAATGGATTAACTCAGTGTGGTCACTTTTTTTACATATGCATCCACCACAAGTGTAAAAGCTCCATAAAGTTAGGGATTTCATACATTTTGCCTACCACTTTTTTTAAAAAAATGTGTGACTAGCCACATGGTAGACATAATAAATATTTGTCAAAATAATGAATCAATATAACTTGCATTCTCCTTTTTTCTACCTAGGATTATACCATAAATATTTTTCCATGCTTGTAAACAGTTATCATCCCTTTAAATGAATGAATCAGAATAATAGTGATAATTATGATAATAATAATACTGACATAACATCATTTACAAAGCTAATCTATATAATTAGATATTCAAAACATTAATTTTGAATTAAACATTAATCTCTGACCTTATAGATAGCATTGATAAGAATATCTTCATGTAGATTTCTGTTTTCTTCTGTTTAATTAACTCTTTAAGAAAACTCAGAAACAATAGCTAGTATAAGAATATGACTTCTTTGTATTGCCACAAGTAACTTTCTGAAAAGACTATATTAATTTACAATACCACGCTATATATCAGTTTCTCTGGAAACTCTCCACAAAAAGAGGAGACCTATTAATTTGTTTGTTGTTGTTGTTATTACAAATTGTCTTAGAAGACACAAATAGAACAATTTTGGTGCTAGTGTCTAATTAATTACAAATTTTTTGAAGGATATTTGATAGAAAGAGTATTTGACAAATTTATGACTGCTGCTGATCTTTAGATGATCAATAGTGCTGATTTAAATCCCATGTTGTAGATTTACTGACCATACAGGATCTCTGCTTCCCTTCAGGAGTCAGATAATTCTATACTGTCATCTGTGTGATTCTTGTTAACTTTAAAAAAATAATAATTTATAAATTGAGAAAGGAGATTTTATTTCTTGTGAAGGTTTACAGCCTACAGGTGGCCAAACTGTAGGCTGGGAAGTGTGTCTCCGGTGAAGACCGAAGACAGACACTTTGAAGGAGCAGGAGTTGGGGTAGAAGCTTATGCTGAACAGGTTGGCTAAACATACATATTCAACAGGTTATAAGAGGAGCTATAAATATTCATGATGGTGGTCCTGAGGCATGCATTTTGAATGAAACATCCATGCCTCATACATCCATGTTAACCTTGGAGTGGAGACTTAACATTTAAATATACTACAATTAGGCCCTATATGTCAAAAGGATTTTTCAGGACACGAAGTCACCCAAGTGTCAGCCTCTGTAAACCCGGCCAGAACCAATCCATGGTGGGTATTCTTCCTATCTGGAGAGAGTTACCAAAATCAGTTTCTTGTCTGTAATTATGGCTGGCAGAACAGAGGGTCAATTAGTCAGCCTTTGTAAGCTGAGTGAGTTGTAATCATTTTAATACTGTTTATTTTGAGGCCAGTGTTGTTTAGCTTCTAGAAAAAGAAAAAAAAGAAAAGAGAAGCCTTAAGGAGTTAGAATATAGTTTATTCTTTAAATGTAGGAGTGTGTGACTTAACCTTTGCCTGGCATGGCCTCACACCCTGTTTATAATTTGGTATCTTATTGTTACAAAGAGTATCTTCTGTCAGTCTTATAATCTCTATTTTAACATTAATGAGGGCCAGTCATTGTGTCTAAATGCCAAAGGAAGAGGGTATTAGGGGGCTTGTCTGACCTCCCATCTCATTATTGCTGAGAATTCAGTTTTAAGGCTTTTCTGGGGTCCCCTTGGCCACAAGGCAGTTTGTTCAGTGAATAGGAGGGCTTAGATTTTATTTTTAGTTTATTTTTCCAATTCTCCAGCTGAGATGTGTAAGCTACTCTAGAGGGTTAAGCTTTTCAACTTTTCCATACAGGGAAAAAAACATCATCAGTTGGTTAATTCCCCCTCTGCTTTATTCAACTTCATGTTGGTTTGCCCTATAATAAATTTATTTAATATAATCCAATCAGAATAGCATTTCCACAGTAACATTTGTGAGAATTCCAAAATCCAAAGACACTTAAGACATTTTAAAAATATATAAAATTTTTAGTCATTTAAAATAAGCACTTTCAATAGATTTATTGGAAATTTCCTAGTATGCAATTTTCATCAATGACTTCATTAAGAAAATCTGTCATCAACTTCAATTGGTTCTGCCAGTAACCAGAAAAGGTAATCCATTTACTAAGAACAATTTTACATAAATTCAGAAAATATAGCATATTAGTAACAACTACCAAGCCAAAAATACATGAGATGTTGTACATTTTGTTCTCTAATTAACGGAGGGACTAGTTACAAAGCCTAAGAAAAAACTTTTTATATTGACATCTTTTGTTTCAACTGTGCTGAAAATATGAATACTGAAAAACAGAGCATATACGTTTTATATTTTATTCTGTTATATTTTGTTTGCTCAAAATAATATAACTGATTTACCCTTATTCTGTAGTTTTAAGTATATGTCAGGATTACATATGGATTATCATCTTGTTCCTTAAAAATTAAACACACACACACACACATACAATGATTTTCAGGATTCTACTTCAAAAAAGAGAACTGGCTTTGACTTCATAAACTGTTATTACTCAGCCTTTGACCCCAGTTACCAAAGCATTTGATTTTAAAATATATTTGAAACAAGAATGTTTAAAGTACAAGGCTCATACAATTAAAACTTCTAATTTGAAATTACCTGAAGATGCGAGCTAGATTATCCAGCCCTGTCAAATTCTCAATTTCAAGATACACATTTACTGAAGCAAAATCTGTAAGTATAAAAGCTTTTTTTTAGCTTTTTCATTTTACTAAAGAAAAACACTTATGTTTCAGATCCACAAAAGTGAATCTTGAGGGCTTAGTAGACCTAACACAAGAGTGCTCTTCATTCATGGTGACTCAGGCCACTGTCTGGAGAAGCCAAGGACTCCACTTCACAAAAACTCTGCAGTATATTGATTCTCCTTGCTTTTTCTCTAAGGAAAATGTGGATTTGGAAAATATGAAAAACTGATTATTCTCAATCTACTTCAAATACAACATCAAGCATGGTCCTACTTAGCAGAAGATGTATTATTTTTCATGACCAATGGAAGAAATTGAATTTAGTAGACATTGAAATGACAGTAAATTTGTCTAAGTCAACACCTCACATATGGAAAGAAACAAACACATAACTAAAGGATTAGGGCAAAAATTAGGTCACTCAGAGGAAAAAAAAAAGACCATATACACCTTCAAAGCAAGAGAACAAGAGAATACTCTTTAAGAGAAAAGGCAGGTGCCATGGCTCACGCCTATAATCCCAACAGTTTAGGAGGCTGAGACGAGAGGATTGCTTGAGCCCAGGAGTTCAAGAACAGCCTGGATAAGATGGGGAAACCCTGTCTTTACCAAATAAATGTAAAAAAATTAGCCAGGCATCCTGGCGGGAACGTGCAGTCTCAGCGACTAGAGGGGCTGATGTAAGAGGACTGCTTGAGCCTGAGAAACGGAGTTTGCAGTGAGCCGGGATTGTGCCACTGCACTCCAGCCGGGGCAACAGACACTGTATCTCAGAAACAACACTAAACTAACCTAAAAAACTAAACTAAACTAAACTAAACTAAACGAGTGCTGCTTTCAATGAAAAAAAGAGAAGAGAAATATATCAAACACCAAATCAGATGGCAAATCAGTCAAAAAAAGATAAAAACTAACCTATTAGCATCATCCAGAGTTCAGGAATTCTGAGAAAAAGAAAAATAATGCCTGAAAGTAAAACAATTGGGGAAGCACTATTAGTACATATTCCATGCATAAAGGAATTTGTGAGAAGTTTGGAGTTCAAACTAGAAAGAATATAGCACTAAAATTTTTTTCGGAAGATGATGTTGAAGATTACAGCTATAATTTACCATTTAGGTTCAGACTTTAAAAGTATTTTGTTGTCTTTCACTCCCCAAACCCACTGCAGTTTACTCAATATGTGTAAAATAAGTGATAGAAGATATTTGTAAAGTAAGTGCACAAAATAAATATTGCGTTTAACTGTTTGGGGCAGAACCCTTATGTTGATAGAATATTCCACCATATTTTACTTTCTTTGCCAACCATTATCCTAATGGAGTAGAAATATATTACTTTATATGGCAAATAATCTATAAAAATTTACTCACTGAATTGAATCGTAAAGGAATAGTAATTAACATGGAAGATAAAAGCATGAGTTGTGTGTGGCTAATAATGTTTCCTTAATTTGTACTTGCATTAATAAAAAGTACAGTATGGAATTCGTTTTCTGATATGTAGCTTGCTGGTATTTCTTACAGTTCTGTTCTTCCCTCTCCTTTATAGGAAACGTGAGATAGATGCTGCACAATATGTGTAACTCAATCAATATAGGTTATTTGAGATAAAAATTTTACTGCTATTAATTTATTGTTTTTGATAACATGTACATGCTAATGAGGCCTGTGTGAGAAATTAGAAAATCATACATGTAATTCTTTTCCTATAAGATGATATACTTAATGTGGTTTTGGAAGATTATGTGGTTTTTGGTTTTGTTGTTCATGATGTTTTGTTTTTAAGACATTCTCTGATATTCAATCAGACTCCCCTGCCCTTCACCCCAGAGTTTATAAAGCCAAATCTTATTGGAGGAAGAAAATAGATTCCCTAAATTTCAAAACGATCACTCCTCAGATATTTAAACAATGTATTCTTAAGTCCAAGATGAAATCGTTGCAAAAAATGTGGATGATGTAATTTTACCATTTGCCTTGATATGATTGATTTAGAATATCACATTTTACCTGCCTTTACATATAAATTTTTCATGAAAAAGGAATGTAAATTTAAATAAGATGTAACGGCCTTTGTAATTAAGTCCATCTGTGTTCTAAATTTAGTACCACGGATAGTTAAGGTGAGGATACATGAGACAAAACTCAGTGTCTAACTCTGAACCCTGTTAAAAGTATTGGAGTCTATTAAGTATGCATCAACCCAGGAACACGGTCTGTTAAAAAAAAATCAGGTTTGCCGTGTAATTTTGAATTTAATATGTTACCTAAGTGTTCTGATAACTAACGTGTATAAAATTAGAAGATGATACATAATCTGCATTAATGGAAAGGTTATTTTCAATTCAGAAAACATACTTCACTTATATATGAACTATTCAACAAATACTATGGCTTATTTCGATTTTCTGTAAAATTGCAATTTCAATTGCTAAGGGTAAATATGAATATCTAATATTGAGAGTATTGTGAAACTGAACCCTGAAGATATTAAGACTGAAAACAAAAGTTATCTTTTTCTTCCAGCTTGTTATATCTTACCTCTTTTAGCCCATCTCCTGCTCCCCAGAAATCAACTTACTCAAGAGTTTTAGAAAAATAATATTAAATATTACGAGACAATTTTTTTGTTGTTATTTGTTTGTTTTTTCTTGAGACAGGGTCTTGTTCTGTCACCTACGCTAGAGTGCAATGGCACTATCTCGGCTCACTGTAACCTCTGTCTCCTAGGCTCGATTGACTGTCGCACCTCCATCTCCTGAGTAGCTGGGACTACAGGCGTGAGTCACCATGCCCGCCTAACTTTTTGTATTTTTCTTTTTTTTTTTTTTTAAGTAGAGACGGAGTTTTGCATGTTGCCCAGGCTTGTCTGTATCTCCTGGGCTCAAGCAATCCGCCCACCTCAGCCTCCCAAAGTGCTGAGATTACAGGCTTTAGAGACAATGTTTTCAAAATGTGATCTATCCCAATTTCCAACTTTGGATTAGTGTCTCCTGTTTTGTCCAATAAAGCTGATAAAAAATAAAGTGCCCAGACAGAGGAAATTCAGACCTCTGGACTTGGGATCCCCTTAAATGTCTATGTTTACTTTTTGAGGTCTTTTAAAAGACCTTCCAATAATTTGTCAAAGCCAGAATTCACACTGAAGAAAAACTAATTTAGACAAATAATTTGTTCATCAAATTTTTATTAAATACCTACTATATGGCTGGCATAACTAACTTCTAGAGATGCAACAATAAATGAAAGATGAATAATGTAAGAATCTTATATTAGAGGATCTCAAATTTAAGCAGGTCGCCTAATCGACTATGGCTGCATGAGCGAGGGAAGAATACTATTATTGGTATAGCTTGGGTCAGATGTCCTCTCCCTTCCCCATCTTGAGATGATGGCAGCTTGAGTTCAAACCACAGGACACAAGGGTATATTAGTTTAGACAGACAAAAGAAAAAAACAAAAAGGATGTGTATCAATCAGCTTCCTGTGGCTACCATAACAAATTGGTACAAACAAGGTGGCTTAAGATCAGAAGTCCAAAATCAAGACATCAGCAAGGTGGCACTCCCTACAGAGGCTCTGAAGAATAATCTGTTCTTTACCTCTTCCAGCTTCTGGTAGTTGGCATTTCTTGACTTGTTGCACCCTAGTCTCTGGCTCTGTAGTCACATTGTCTGTTCCTTTTCTGTGTGTGTTCTATTCTGTGTGTTTGTCTCAAAGCTTGCTTAGCATCCCTCTTAGAAAGAAATCCATGCATATACTTGGGGCCACTGGATAATTCCCTTGTCTCAATCTGCTTTATTGTATTTCATTATACATTTTCTGCCACATAAAATATTATTCACTCTTTTGCCTTATAAGGTAACATTCCTAGTTTCCAGGGTTTGGAACACAGCTTTTTGTGATCACCAGTTAGCCCCCACTGGGATTTAACTCCCTAGCTGACCTATATTATCTAAGTCAGTCAAGGTACCAGCTGTATCTCCAATCAGAATATGGAGCCAATGCAGGCATTATCCACTGCTTCAAAATGCCAAAAATACTTGAAATGCAGCTCTTCTTCTTAAAATAAAAATACGTAATATTAGGAATGTATTTCTTTTTATAAATACTTTATTATATTTGCCCTTTTTGCCAATATAAGCAATTGCAAAATATCTGATACATTTGTGCTAACTTTCCTGTTTCTCTATTGCATGTTGCAAAAAAAATAAGAATTATTAAATTTAAATGGCTATTCTAAAAAAATTAAGACTATAAAAACTGGTAAATGTTAAAATGGTAAACATTAGATGTATGAGAATTGTAATGCAGTCTTCAACATAAAAAATACTGTTTTGTAAAGATTGATTAGTGTTGGGTAAGACTACTAAGAATAATTATATTAGAATGATATCTTTCACCCCTTTCTCCTTTATGCAGATCTTACATTTGATTTTTGGGTTAGCTGATACTGTCCGGGAGATTTCTCTTTTCAGCTATTAAACCATTTGTCAAATTAATGGATTAGAGAACTAAAAATACTTCACTTCTAAACTACTTTGATGGCCTAATATGAACTTATTAGCTTAGTGCCATATTCCATTCATTAATTTTTACTTCCAATAGGTGTTACTTTTGAGTTGCTTTGAAAATTTCTCATAAAGGTAAATACACTTTCTGTGCTTTTCGTTTGTTTTGTTTTCACTAGATTAATGATATGCCTTTACATAACATATATTACTGCAGTTAAAGTAATTTTTCTTAAGTAAAAAGAAATACTTAAGATCACTAGAACAGCTAATGCTACATTTTTTGGAAACCTTTGGCTCTTTAATTTATCTTCAGCTTTAAAGAAGTTTGATTTGTCATTACAAAAAAAAGTGTTCATTCCATTTCTACATCAATATGCAGGTATTTGTTGATATCCTATATTTTAGTTATTCAAGTTTACATCAGCATTTGGTTCCTCTCCCACTAACTGTTTATATTTTAATGAAGTGCGATGGTTAAATCTTTCAAATAAGATATGAAAGACATTAAATATTTATAATTTATTTTATTTCTCTTCTCTGTCATTTGTGATTAATTAGGCCAGTTGTCAGCCTATATTTTGGATAAGAAACATTATTCTTTCCAAAGAGAAGTTTTCATCAGAAAAAGGATTGGGAAAAATATTGTTTGTTATCTGAAATTCAGTAGGAGGTTTTCAACTTGGGAATTTAAGACTTTGATCCTGTTAATTTTAGTTCACAAAGACAAAAATTCATAATGCATAGCCTTTAAATCTGTATGCATACACATTCTCATTAAATTCAAAGTCAGTTGGTAGAGTAGCAGGGGTGCATTAATTTTCTGAGTATTTAGACTAAATCATATCTCTGCTACACTTCTCTCAAACCAGCACCACCCTAAAGTAAATGCAGCTTTTACTGTACTACCATTTTGGTTACCTACATAGATGATTGTAAAGTACCCACTGTGATTTAATCTGACAGGAGCAGTCAGGTTGATACTATGTGTCTCTAAGGAGGGCTGTGTGTAATTAGCAATCTCTATGTTTAGAAAGATGTCTTTAAAAGATAATTTTACACTGAGAATTATGGACTTTTTTAATCTCTTGAATTATTTTATCTTTACTTTACTATCTCAACTCCCTCATCTAAAAAATCCCCAGTCATCCTTGATATATTTCAAGCAGCAGTTAAGAATTTTTCCTTTAATACTTATTCTTTGTAAAGGCCAATGGTCTTGCCCTCTTTTGAACTCCACTAATAGACACCCTCTGTGTAAATAACAGTGTCACAGTAAATTATGAATGTTCACATGAGTTCTTTCATTGATGTTCCAAAATATTACTTAAGCCCTTGTTCATTGACTTTTCAGTCTTATCCCTTATCTTACTGAACAAAATCTAAGTATCTTGAAGGCAGCAACCATGTCTTACAGAGTAAAAATGAATGCTGTAGATCCTTAGTAAATATTTATTTTCAATGAATCTCTGAAAAAAATAGTGTCTCCTTAGTAAAGAATGAAAAAGAATATGAAATCTATTTTTACATTACAGTTGAGAAGTGAATAGAAAAAAAATAGGAAAAATACACTTGCCTGTTGTTAGTTATCGCTTTATCAATGTGAACGGCTTAATTTTTATGCAGTAGTTTAGATTTGATGCATAAATTATGAAGACAATCTTGCAATTATGTATGCCACAAGTATCTAGAAGTATATAGTCTATCTTTTTCCTCCCTTTTCTCTAATAACATTCAATTACTGTGCTAGCCCCAGTTATGAATATTTATCAGTAAAGAAACAGGTGGAAAAAAATCCAAAATTTTATTTGACCATGTTTGTCTGGAAGTGACAGTATTGTTCCTTACATTAACTAGAACTGGACCCTAGAGATAGAAAATAAGTATAGTTACATAAAAATTTTAAATGTATGCACATTTAAATTTACCAATTATGAATATATACACTCTACACAATGAATAGTGGAGAATAATGAAAGTAGCAAACCATCGTATATGTCAAAGTAATTTCCATAACATTATATTTTTTTAATTAACAAATGTTATAGCTGATCTCAACATGGAATGGTGGTGGGCATTGGGGGCAGGCAAAAGGGGAAAATATTGTCTTTTTTGGAATTAGCCTGTAAAAAATCATTAACCTTGAATGTTGATGTAAAATCTATTTTAAAATTTTATGTTTAATAATTTAATGGTAACTTTAAGAAGAGCAGGAATTAGTTGTAGGAATTCTAAATTATCCAAATAAAATAAGTTACTACTTCAAATTCCTTGGTCAATCAAACAAAATGAAAAAAGAAAGCAAAAACAGGAAAGAGTGAATAAGTAATATAAAACAGGATGTCATTGCTGAGTCCAATGCATTGTAACAGTAATAAACCTGAATATGAATTAATTCTCTGATTAAGAAAATTTACATTAGGATAAAAAATTTCTGGCATACACTATTTTCTGGAGACATGCATGAAATAAAGTGAAATACAGATTAAACATAAAGATAATAAAATAGAAATGCTATTCGAATTTAATAGAATAAAAGATTCAAAAAACTAAGGTAGTAAAAAGTTTTTGTGCACTTATAATGTAGTTTCATAATGTAGAGAGCAGACACTAATATAGATGAAATGAGAAAATGGTAAATGATAATTCATGTTTAATAGAAAAACTTACATTTCCCCTAAATCAGATTAAGAACACATCTAAAACATTAACTAACAGAAAGTTTTAATTTTTAAAATAAATCATAAAATATTCATGAAAATTGGCCATGTTTCATGCCACAAAAAATGCAACATATCCTGAAGAAACTACAATTTTCAGATTTTGTGGCAAAAACACAACTAAAAATTAGAATGTGACTCTATGAACAAAATAAACAACAAATATACACACTATAAAAATTCAAAGGGAAATTTCCTTTTAACTGATTTCTTACTTTAAGAAAAGAAAAAAGTCAAGACAATAGCTTCTTTAGAAATTAATAACCATATGTCTGTTGGCTGCATAAATGTCTTCTTTTGAGAAGTTTCTGTTTATATCCTTTGCTCACTTTCTGATGGAGTTATTTGTTTCTTTCTTGTAAATTTGTTTAAGTTCTTTGTAGAATTTGCACGTTCTGCACATGTATCCCGGAACTTATAGTATAATAAATAAAAAAGAAAAAGAAAAAGAAAGAAAGCTTCTTTTGCCCCCCCCCAAAAGAAAGAAATTAATAACCAAAAAGTTTTGAATAAAAATAACCATGGAATCCAGCCAAACTATGAAATAGTGAGGAACAATTCTCAGAAGAAAAGATGAAAGTTCTATATGAAAAAAGAAAATGTCGATCTTCACTGACAGACAAAAAATCTTAAAATGGTGAGCAATCACTTTCTGGTGGAATTTGGAAAGTTGTATAAATTTTTCTAAGCTCAAACCATAAAAATATAACACACCACATGTAATAAATAAAGGAGTTATTGAGACAGATATATAAAACATTTTAAAAATAATTAGAGAATTCTGATATAAACTCATATAAATTATAAATGAATTATAATACAATTTATTTTAAAAAGGTAGAATTTCTATAAATGCCTAACTATTCTCTTCTAACTATTCTAAGTAGTTTTAAGTGAGAAGAAAGGTTATCTGTAATTGAATGGAATATTTTACAATTTGAGTTTTCTTAGGTTGGCATGACATTGTCTATGAAAAAGGTAAATAATTATTATAGAAAATTGCTATTCACTTGGGAAAAATAAAATTAGCTTAGTATATAAATGCAGCTCTCACAAACATTATGTGCAATAATTTTAAGTTATTCAGAAGAATACATGCAATATATAAGTTTAGAAGCACCAAAATATTTTATGTATGTGCACACATACACACATGCATAGTAAATTCCATTTATATTTTTAAAAGATCTATGTTAGTTATGGAGAAATTAGTGATCAAGGACAGGAGGTTAAGGAGGACTGACTACTTAATATGTCACCTAAAACTGTAGCAGAAATAGCAGGATTGCAAAAAGCATCTAATATATAGTTTCTACCTTCTAGCCATTCACACACTGTGGAAACAAGGGGAACCAAAATGAAACAATGCACAAAAAGAAGCCAATATATGATGGTGCCAGCATATGTCTCATTGGCACTCAGTCACACATGCCTCAATGGTTCCAACTTAATGTAAATTTACAGGTAGTTGCATCAAAACTTTTCTCATAGTATGTGGCCAAATCATTTCAGACAGATTCATAACTGATAGCAAAAAGAAACAAAATAACAAATTACCAAGAAACAAAATAACAAATTACCTTGAAAATACATATTCCAGTATTAAAGGATAAAAAAGGAAAAATTGCTGAGAGGCCACATAGCAGGAGGATGAAGGACAATAAACTGTAATCATTTTAACTTTTTCATAGGAACATTGTCATCTTTTAGTAAACACTGTAAATTATAATTTATGTATTACATATAATATGACTTGAGTACAGGAAATGCTTCTCTTAGGAAATGTTTTTCTAAACATAGAGCCATTTGAAAAGTGTAGAGAAAGACTCTATTAACTGATACTAAATGTAATTCAGGCAGGTGTTCCTTCCTTCAGGATGAGTGTCAAATGACAGGTTGCTACCCTCTATTTTACTAAAATTCTCATTAGCATTATCTTGGAAATGAGACATTAGCTGGTTGAAAAGCTAAAAGGTTTTTTCAGGGGAAGATGCAGTAGTAGCATATATAACACAAGCATTTCAAGGTAGAGAATATTTCTTACTTAATAGGTACGTGGGGCTTTCCATTGTTGTAGAAATTAGTTTGAATAAAATTTATCATAAAATTACTTGTAATAATGGAAATAATAGGCTAATTATAAATGAATTAAAAGTACTTAAACACACCTATGTAGTTTCTTTCCTCAATACATACTAAATAACTCTGATAAGCAAATGCTGAAATATAATGAAATTTCTAAATCCATGGCAAGTTTCAAAGATGTATACTCTCTGGTCTTATGGTAATTTCCAGTATATTTCTATGGAAATCTTCCAAAAACTTTGCAAATGGAGTATTTTTATGTCATAACTATTTATATTAAGCAAACTAAAAATGTGATATTGAAAAGAGTAATGTCCAGAAGAAATGTTGATACCAGTAATTAATCAACATGTTATTTTAGTATCCAGGATTATAGCAAGGATGCCAATTTCATTGTTATTCTAAAGTCAATGTGGTGCCTTTCTGGCAAACAAGTGATCAATTCAAGCCAAATTATTTTCTACAAAAGTTAACATATGTTATTTTTCTCCTTACAACTTTCCTCTTATCAATGGTTCTTGCAATACAACACTTAAATTAAATATTCACAATAAGCTACAACACTCTTTATAGCAACAGACTGTTGAATCAGGACTTATTTAGTGACAAAACAATTTAAAATGATGAAATTTTGAGACCAAGATTGTATGCAAACATGCCAGCTGGAGATAATATATTATAATATACTCGAACTTGAAAGAAAGCTCACAGTTTGGTTTTATAAGGGCTGGTAGATGAATGTATGCTTCATGGACATACAGTTCTGAAGAAATATGAACCTACAACATATGTATAGTATATAAATTGGAAAAGTAGCAAAAGAAATGAACTAAGTCCGAGATATTAAAAAAGACAAAGAGGCTGAGAAGACAGGGAAATCAGCATTGCAAACAGATGATTGCAGGTACTGAGACAACCACAAATATATTATATGGGATTTAGGTGGAAGAATCCCCTCTACAGATAAACTAGGGTAATAGAACTTTACAAGGATTTTAGTCGTATTGTTATGACATTATTATAAAGAAAAGAGAATAAGGAACAGAATAGCATCCCAACAGCAGGAAAAATAAAACCCTCTACTTTTCAAGTAACTAAATGTAAAAAGTGATAGAGGATATAAAAGAACAACGTAAATCAGAATTAGAAAAACTCAATGACAAATTGATCATAAAAAAAAGATTCGAGGAAAAAAAAGTAATCCAAAACAAATTATTTTAGAAAAATATTTCACAAGTGAAGGTAAAACTTGAAGAAACACAAGAGTGACTTAAAACAACAGACAACCAATTAAGATAATTAGAAGATGGAATGGGGATTTTTTTAATATGAAAGAAAGAAAAAAAAGGAAGGGAAGGGGAGGGGAGGGGAGGGGAGGAGTTAATTCAAGAAGTAAAAAATATAGAAGATAGGCAAGTAATAGAAGAATACCAAAGTAAAGGAGCAAAACAAATATAAATAAATGTTTAAAAATCTGAAATAAGAAACTACATATTGATAGGTCATGCCATGTATGTGACCTATAATGGCCAGAAATAACACCAGTTCTAGTAAGACTACTGAACTTAAGAGAATTTTTAAAAAGGCATTAAGGCAAAAATGATGAAATACTTATAAGGAAAACAGAGACTGCTACTAAATCTTTGACAGCAAACATTTCTTTTTGCCAGAAACAATGGAGTAATATATTTTAGATAACAAGGGATATAAAATATAAGCCAAGAATTTTGTAACTAGCCAAAGTTGATTCAAGTATATAGGTGACAGACAAACTGCTATAAACATGGAGAATTTCAGAAATATTGTTCTAATGAGCTCTACCCTTTAGGCAACCAAAGGATTAGAGAAATATCAATGTAAGCAGTGTTGATAATAATTAAATATGTATTTGCCTATATTTTAAGACTAAGTAATAGTCAATATAAAATGGAATGATTGTATATTCTGACACGATGAACACAAATATCAAAAATCACAGAGATGAATATAAGTAAAGTAGAATAAGCTTAATGTTTGATTTACAGGAATTGAATAGGAGTAGGACATTACTTCAAATTAGATGATATGGAGAGGGAGAGAAGTAGTAAAAAGAAGTTGCCAACGAGTTCCAATATTCCTTACAAGAAGGAAAAAAAAAAAAGAAAATAGTCCTCTCTACTCAAAAAGAAAAGGAAAGCTAAAAGCATGCATAAAGCATGAGTAGATAGGTAGCCCCTAGAATAAAATGCAATCATGCCTAAATAATGCATTAAAAACTCATTTAAGCATTTTAAAGTAGTTGCTAATAAAAGGAAATATGTTCAAAGAATAAAGATTCCAAAACCAGGTAAATATTGTCCATAATTGTAAAAAGCAATTAGAAAGCATCCTTTCAAATAAAAAATAAGATAACAAAATGTACTTAAATATGCATTCAGAACCATACCAGACAAAAATATTTTAATTAATTTTAAAAATATTAATTGGACTGTATTAATATCTGGGAGTATATATACTTTAAAGTAGGGCATTTTTCCTCATTCTTTCAAGATAACTCCTGGATCTCCAAGCATTGTTCATGTGAAGAGCATGCGCTAGTCATCAAGTCTCTTTATAAAGTTTTTCCCAAAGGTGCAACCAACAACTTCAACTTACATCTCATTAGTCAAAACTTAAACATACATCATTTATATCAGTATGTAAATCTAGAAAATGTATTGTTCTTAAATCTGAGTACAATGCCACTACCTCCTCAACTTGGATTTCTGAAACTAAGGAAGAAGGGGAGAATGGATATTGGGAACATAGCTAACATTCTCTGCCACCACAGCTTTTGCTGAGTGAATGCTGTGACAGTGAGCAGCTATCTTGGCCTCTACTCTTGTCTCTTTCTAAAGGAAGAATTGGCTCTGTAATCCTTTAATCTATAACTTAATGTACAAGGAAAGTTAGAAGGATTCAGAGACAGTGTGCTAATTGAGTCTTTTTAAGAAGAATAAATCCACATCATTCCTCACAGGGGCAAAGGGCATAAGATGATACCAAGCAAAAAAACAGCAATCACAAATTTCAAGGCCTCATACTCAGGAGAAATAAAAGAAAGAAAAGAAGACAGATACTTACAAAAACTAGTTTTAATGAAAACATATCTTTGTAAAATTCATCTGAGCAGCAGGCTTCGTGTAATCCTATTTTTAATAATAAAAGAGATTTAAAAAGATTAGGATATCTGCCAGTACATTAGGTGAATAGCTTAATTCTGGGATATACTTTTGTCTTTTAAAATAGTATATAAAATATTTAGCAGTGTATAAGGCATATGTATACATATTCACATCTATCAATATTATTATAACATATACATGGCATTTACGAAGATACAACAGTTTTTGTCAAGTTTACTTTCAATTGGGGATAATTTATGCATGACAACTTCCTTTCCACCCATTTGAGAATATTTAAAAATAATTTATTTACTGATCTTTTCTGTCAATTTTTTGGAACAAAAATCGTGGCATGCCAAGATTACAGTTCCTTTTTTTGGCCAATATCTTCAAGATCCTCTTTTTCAGTGTAATTTTACAACCTTATTTTCTCTCCCTTAGTTTTGTACATATAACATTGCTCAATTCTTCTGTCCTTCCATGATTCACA